>NC_000021.9:45776607-45930503 GCF_000001405.40 Homo sapiens | reverse complement strand
TGATGGCCTCATGACAGCGACTGGGCTAGGGCTGACTCGGGTCACTGCTCTCCTGGGGCAGGGCTGGGTGCCACCTTGGGATACGCAGTGGCTTCCTGCAGAAGAGCATCCACGTCAGCTGTGCTCTTGCTCCTGGAGAGAAAAGCCTCCAGGGCGGCCCAGTGGGTACGCTCAGCAGGAAGGGCCACCCAGGACAGACTGCGGGCAGCACAGGGCACTGCCCAGCAAGTGCAGACCCTCGGTGGGCAGACGTCTCTTCACAAGCAAGGCTATGGCAAGGCCAGCTGTAAGGTGAACCAGCCCCCAACAGTGGGAGCGAGACCCACCTCCCGCCCCCACCCTGTCCCCGGCCCCAGCCCCAGCAAGCCTGCTGCATGTGAACGCCGCAGCACCGGCACTCACAAATCCAACTGCACCTGTTCTATGCACTGCACCGAATAACACAGCTCAGAAAGAGAAAGTCCCCAGGTGAGAAGAGAAGGAGGTGAGAAAAGGGCTGGGTACGTACCGGGGAAAGCGGGGTTGGTCTGTCCGAGGGGAGGAAAGGGGGTTTGCTGCATGGCCAACTGGTGGAGCTTGGTCAACTGCTGGGGTAGGAGGGACACGAGAGCTAAGAAGGTTATTGTCATCGAGTACAAGTCACACCAAATTAAAACGGCAGTAACAGAACTTTGCACAGATAGATAGAAAGAGGGCCATGCGGACACATGGCAGATGCAAGAGAACGCAAGGACTTGGCCTGGGGGAAGCCAATGGAGTCCAGGCTGTGAGCAGGCCAATGCCCGGCGTGCAGAAGGCAGCTCCGGAAGCCGCTGTCTTCTCTCCCTGGCTCCCCGGCAGCTCCAGCCTAGACCGGCCCAGCCTCCCTCTCACCAGCTGGTGTGGACAGGAGGCTGGGGCCAGTGGGCCATGGAGAGTCTGGGGGAGTCCAGGAGCCACAGATGAAGACCAGCTGCACTTCTAGGAGATTCAAGGCCGAGTCACTAGTCACTAAAATCAGCCTAGCCCCTGTGGGATCCACAGAGGCATGAGTTTGCAAACCTCGCCCTGGTCTCACCCTGTGCTAGGCCTGGCCCACTCCCCTCCCCTGCAGGGCCTTGCTTTACCCATGAGGTGACCTGGGGTGGGGGGAACACCTGAGGGGCCACACATCTGCCTTTTAGTCACCTCCAGAAGCGTCTTGCCTTTCCTGGGATTACAGAACACTAGTGCTAGAAGGTTCTGTGGAAGGCATGAGGGAGGGACGCCTCGGGCCCTCAGCTGGGAGCCGCCTGTGTCCCCGGTCCCTGCAGGCTGCCCCCAGCCCTTCTCCTCCCATCCTCGGGCCACAAGACTTTTCAAGGGGGCTTTGATGCCATTTTTAAAGTTATTTTACCTGAGCCTCATTTCTTAAATAAAAACTAAAAATAGCAGAAGATAATGGTAAACGTGGCAAGGTGAGGCTCATAATTCTTCCACCCTTTGGAGAGCCCAGGGCTGCTCAGCAGAGGGCATGGTGCTCCTCAGGCCTGGCTTTCCCAGGAGCCACAGGCCTCCAGTGGGGCTGTCAAGGCTGGGTGCTGCAGAGGGTGTCCTGGGGCTCAGGAGGACCCTGGGCAAAGCTCCTCTGTGGTGCTGCCCAGCAGGCAGGGGAGGTGGCACATTTGGGGAGGGCACCACCTCCCCAGCATTTTCCCTTCAGAACATTCAACCCAAATAAATCCCAGCGTGGCTGTGTGTGGACTCCTGCGACCCACAGCCAGGCAGGCACCTCAGCTTCCTCACTGCACAGGGTATGGGTGGCAGAAGCTGCCACAGAGGCCACCAATGCTGGGGGGTGTGGGCGCTCGGAGCAGAGCTGCCATCTGCACGTGAGAAGGCCGGCTGCTGAGCACCTGACCAGACCCCCATGCTTGCCCTGGCCACCCCTGGCACCTGGGTTCCCTGACACCAGGGAGCACAGTCAGGAATGCGGCGACTGTGGTCCCAGCGCCTTCCCAGCTGTGTGCTCCTGGGTGGGTTTGAACTTGGCCTCTCAGGAGCTGGGAGCCCTCCCCTAAGAGTTCACCCAGAGTCAAGATAAAGGCCCTTCCTTCCTCAGTACCTAGTACCCTGGGAGGATCGGGGGGCCTGCTCCCCAGCCCTGCCCCTCCCCAACCCCTGGCCTTGCAGCCAGGTCTGGGCTGGGGGGCAGGGCATTGTGGCATCTGCGCTGCCCCATGATGTAACGTGAACGGGTGTGCCGGGTTATCTGAGGGGATGTGTGTGGAAGCCCCTGACGAGGGTGCCAGGAGAGCTTGTGGGGGACATCCTGTCCCAAGGACACCAGCTGAAGTCACCGGGACAGTCTACCTCCCGGAGATACACGAGGCCCTGCGGGGGCAGGAGGAGGAAGCAGGCGCATCTGGGGTCCTAGTGAAGGCGCCCCACCTGGACGGGGCACGTCAGGAAAGACCGCAAGTGTCCCAGGCCGGGTAGGAGAGCTGCAGGCAAGATCGCCCACGGCGGGGTGAGACACTCCTGGCAAATTCATCCACAGCCACAGGACGCTGAATGGCACAGATGGGATCCGCAAACCCCCGACTCCTAGTGGGGCTCAGGAGCTGCCCCATGGCCAGGGAATGGGGCACGGGGAGGGGCGCTCCCTGGGCTCTACAGGGGTTGGAGTCGGCTCCAAGATGGCTCAGCTTGTGGCCGTGGCGACAGGAAGGCCTGGTGTCTCCAGGCCTCAGTTCCTTGACTATAAAGTGGGGGAATGGATGTGAGTGAGCAGCAGCTGTGGCTGCGGATGACAAAAATGTCTCCTGATACGTTTTGGGCTTTTTATGATGAAATGACCACACTAGCAAACAAATCTCTCTTCTCCCCACCTACAAATGTAGGGGACGTCCTAGGGAGGCCTGGACTAGCACTGGGCGGTGCTGGGGGAGCATCTGTGGAGAGGATGGGCGGGTGCTCACCCTAGCTCTGCCCGGGATCAGTCAGGCCACTGCACCTCGTTTGGACTCAATTTCCACATTTTTTAAAGGAGAGAACAGGACTAAGTGCCAAGGGGCCTTCCACTTTTTGGGAAAATTCTGCCCTGTTGAAAAAATGAGGCTTTTGGTTCTCACCAGTACCTCCAAACCACTGAGAGGAAAGAGGAAGAAAGTCAGGTAGGCAGGCGAGAGGGAGGGAGGGAGAGGAGGGGAGGATGTAGGGGGAGAGGGAGGAAGGGGAGGGGAGGGAGGAGGGGGAGAGGGAGGGAGAGGAGGGTAGGAGGATGGGCAGGGGATGTATCCCATTACTGATGTTTCTCTGTAAACTGTCTTTTCTATTTCACATTGTTTCAGAATGTAACACATAGACAACTACTAAAATTACAAGCATTTAAGATGCAACTCAATGAATGATCACAAAATGAATGCACCCATACAACTATCACTCAGGCCAAGAAACAGGCCCCCAGCACAGTGGTTCTAACCTGCATTCTATTTCATCTCCAGCAAAATGTCTGTTTCTGTCATTCGCCCATGTTTCTTATTGCTTGATTTTTGCTGACTTCTCAAGAGCACCCCAGCATTTCAGATGCCATCCTGTCTGTCACTCCTGCTGCACAGATCTTCTCCCCGCTCTCCCATGGTGTCTTATGAGAAACAGTATTCCAACATTTCACAAAGTTGAACTCACCAGTATTTTCCTTTACAGTCTGTGCTTACGTTTTAAGAAATCGTCCCCTGATCTCAGAATAGGACATTCTTCTATATTTTCTCCTAAAACTGCTAAATTCTTCTGTCTTGTGTTGGAGTTCTTGACACATGGGAAATGATTTTTGTTTATGGCAGGAAGTAAAGATCAATTTCCCCACGTGGTTGACCCACCGTCCTGGCACTGTGTGGAGCATCTGCCCTCTCCCAGGCTCTCGTGGGCAGCTCTGTCCTGTCCAAGTCTCATAGACGGCTTCCTTCCTGTGTGAGGGATCCTGGGCTCTCATGTCTGATCCAGTCTACTTGTCTCCCACTGCACCAAAACCACACCGTTTGACATAGTCATCTCCGATGATCACAGTGCCTCCTTCTGGACACCTCCTGCGGGACCTGCCTGAGGCTGTTTTACAGCTAACATTTTTTAGATAATTAGAAGGAATACACTAAAATAATGATAAAAAGCATAGTAATACACAAACCAGTAACACAGTTGTTTATCAGCGTCATTTAGAATGACGAGCTGTGCTTAACGGCAGGTGCTAGATGGCTAGACGGCTGGCAGTGCAGTGGGTTTGCACCAGCAGCACACGTGGGGGTAACGTGCTGCACTGCAACCTCAGGTCAGCTGCAAGGTCACCAGGCAACAGGAATTTCTCAGCTCCACTATACTCTCATGGCATCACCATCGTCTGTGTGGTCTGATGTTGGCTGAACCGTCATGTGGTGCATGACTGCAATTGCTTTGTGCTAAGAGAGTGTGGTCGATACGATTCCAATTTTTGAAAGATGATGAGATGTGCTTTATGGGCTGGTATGTGATGAGGTTTTGTAAATGTCTCCATGAATTCTACAGCTGTGGCAGGTGTAACGTTCGAGGTACGGCAATCACGTCAGGATCACGGGTGGTTCTGTTGATGCCTTCTTCACACTTGTCTACTTGGCCTATCACTCATGGAAAGAGAGGTGTGCCAAGTTTTTGCTATAATGTCTGTCAAATTATCTATGTTTTGTCAATTTTTAAAATATATTTTAAAGCTATGTTTTAGGCACGTATAAATTTTGAATTATATCTTCTTGTGAGCTGAATTTTCTATCAACATGTAATGAGTAAAGTTTTTCTCTTAAAGTCTTGTTTTTTTCCCCCTACTGATGTTAATATTGGTACACCAGCTGATTTTGTTGCATATTCCTTAGCCTTTTCCCATTCTTTCATTTTTTCTGGGTTCTTATGCTTTAGGTGTGTCTCTTGAAAGAAAAAAAAACAAAAAAATTATTTTTTGCTTGTTTGCTTGCCTATTTGTTCAGCTTAAAAATATAGTCTGGCAGCCTTTGCTTCTTAACTGGAATTTCATAATTTTACTTTGATCACAATCATCCACATATTTAGACTAATTTTTGACACTTGTTTTCTAATTGTCCTGCTTTTCCAGAGTTTCTTTTTTATTTCACTCCTTTTCTTCTGTTGGATTAATAATTTTTCCCCTCACTTGTTTCCTGTCACAGAGGTTACATATCGGACTTCTTTGTTGTTAGTGGTCATTGAAACTTTAACATGTGCGTTGAGAGTCTACACTCAGTGTCTTCTCCCTCTAGTGGAATGAGACAGAGACCTGCGGGTGTTCGCATCTCCTCACGCACACCCGACCTTACGTGTGCTGTTTCTACCCACTCGACTGTTCCTGGTGTTCGCATCTCCTCACGCACACCCGATCTTACGTGTGCTGTTTCTACCCACGCGACTGTTCCCGGTGTTCGCATCTCCTCACGCACACCCGATCTTACGTGTGCTGTTTCTACCCACTCGACTGTTCCCGGTGTTCGCATCTCCTCGTGCACACCCGATCTTACGTGTGCTGTTTCTACCCACACGACTGTTCCCGGTGTTCGCATCTCCTCACGCACACCCGACCTTACGTGTGCTGTTTCTACCCACTCGACTGTTCCCGGTGTTCACATCTCCTCGTGCACACCCGATCTTACGTGTGCTGTTTCTACCCACACGACTGTTCCCGGTGTTCGCATCTCCTCACGCACACCCGATCTTACGTGTGCTGTTTCTACCCACTCGACCGTTCCCGGTGTTCACATCTCCTCGTGCACACCCGATCTTACGTGTGCTGTTTCTATCCACTCGACTGTTCCCGGTGTTCGCATCTCCTCACGCACACCCGATCTTACGTGTGCTGTTTCTACCCACTCGACTGTTCCCGGTGTTCGCATCTCCTCACGCACACCCGATCTTACGTGTGCTGTTTCTATCCACTCGACTGTTCCCGGTGTTCGCATCTCCTCACGCACACCCGATCTTACGTGTGCTGTTTCTATCCACTCGACTGTTCCCGGTGTTCGCATCTCCTCACGCACACCCGATCTTACGTGTGCTGTTTCTACCCACGCGACTGTTCCCGGTGTTCGCATCTCCTCGTGCACACCCGATCTTACGTGTGCTGTTTCTATCCACTCGACTGTTCCCGGTGTTCGCATCTCCTCACGCACACCCGATCTTACGTGTGCTGTTTCTACCCACGCGACTGTTCCCGGTGTTCGCATCTCCTCACGCACACCCGATCTTACGTGTGCTGTTTCTATCCACGCGACTGTTCCCAGTGTTCACATCTCCTCGTGCACACCCGACCTTACGTGTGCTGTTTCTACCCACGCGACTGTTCCCAGTGTTCACATCTCCTCGTGCACACCCGACCTTACGTGTGCTGTTTCTACCCACTCGACTGTTCCCGGTGTTCACATCTCCTCGTGCACACCCGATCTTACGTGTGCTGTTTCTACCCACTCGACTGTTCCCGGTGTTCGCATCTCCTCGTGCACACCCGATCTTACGTGTGCTGTTTCTATCCACTCGACTGTTCCCGGTGTTCGCATCTCCTCGTGCACACCTGATCTTACGTGTGCTGTTTCTACCCACTCGACTGTTCCCGGTGTTCGCATCTCCTCGTGCACACCCGATCTTACGTGTGCTGTTTCTACCCACTCGACTGTTCCCGGTGTTCGCATCTCCTCGTGCACACCCGATCTTACGTGTGCTGTTTCTATCCACTCAACTGTTCCAGGTCGAGTTTATTTGTATTATTTGTTTATCCTGTTTGGGAATTGTTGATGGTTTCTCTAATTTTGGAAGGTTCTCTGTGTGTCTCTTGGAATTTTCTCTCTCCATTCCATGTCTCCCCTGGGCTTCCAACTGGATGCATGTTCTTCCTTCTCAGGCCTCCTGACTAGTGTTTCTCAGACCTCCACGGGCCAGTGAGTCGCCCGAGGGTCCTGTAAAGATGCAAAGTCTCGTTCTGAGAAGGGCAAGCTGGGAGGAACAGCATGTGAGAGCCGTGCCACTGGGGCCCTGCAGAGGGTGCGGTGTTCCAAGCAAGGAAAGATGGAACTCCAGCCAGCAGTGAGGGTTGCCTGGGCCTCTTGTTTCATGAAAGGAGTGGCTGCAGTAGCACAGCTCTGACAGCAGGTGGGGCCATGGGCAAGCCGCTGCACCACTTGCAGCTGCAAGGTCTTGGAAGGTGCCAGGCTTCAGAGTGAGAGAGGCTGGGCCCCTCGGCATGTGCCCAGAGCATGCGGCATTGACTACTCTCTCACTACAGTGAGGGGACCCCTCACCCACCTCCCCACAGGGTTCCAGAGGGAGACACAGAACAAGTGGGAGGAGAAAGCACTCTGCAACAATCTGCCCAAATCTCTGCAAGTGCATGAGATTGTCACAAGAGCCCACGCGTGCCCTTCATGTGTCCAGGGGAAATGCGTGGCACCGACAGAGTCCCGGGGATTGCACAGCTGGGATGAAGGGCCGCATCCAGCACAGGATCTGGTCGTGCCTCCCATCCCTGGCTCCCACTTACAACGACACATTTCTACAATTTCCCCACGACTCTTTCACTGAAGAACCAGCTTCTTAGTAGACACTGGTGTCCGCTTGATTCCCAGCGTTGCTGCACATCTGCCACTCACGTCCAGCTGCCTGGGCGGCTGTGCCAAGCCCTCCCATTCCCTGGCTCATTAGCTCTGGCCAAGGCACCTCTCAGAGCTTCCACTTCCTCGTGTGTGGAACTGGCCCCACGGTCCTGAGATCTGCCTCACAGGGTTGGTGCAAAGGCTCATCTAAAATCGCCTACATGGCAAACTCTTCGTCAACTCTAACATGTTTTTATTTTTGCTTGCTTTCAACATCCCCTTTAAATGATGGGGACGTTAAGTAAGGGAGTGATTAGGAGAGCTGGAAGACTAGAAATAAAGATTTGTATATATGAGGGTATTTTTTCTTTTTTTGAGACAGGGTCTTGCTCTGTCGCCCAGGCTGGAGTGCAGTGGTGCAATCTCTGCTCACTACAGTCTCGACTGCCGGAGCTCAGGTAACTGCCCCACCTTAGCCTCCTGAGTAGCTGGGACTCCAGGTGTGTGCCACCACACCCAGTTAATTTCTGTATTTTTTTGTAGAAATGGGGTCTTGCTCTTTTGTCCAACCTGGTCTCCAACTCCTGGGCTCAAGCAATCCTCCCATCTTGGCCTCTCAAAGTGCTGGGATCGCAGGAGAGAGCCACTGTACCTGGCCTATGAGGGTATTTTTGAAGTTCACTCATTTCTTCCAGAAAAAACAATTCCTTCCTGGTGTAACTTCCCCGCTGTAATTAAAGGTGCAGACGTGCTGGGTGAGAGTCAAGCAGTCTGTCCAGGTGTGGGCGCTCTCGGCTCTGCTCTCAGGTCCCAGGTCTCAGGTGCTGTTTCTCTTTCTCATTTCTGAAACTGCACTTGGTCTGACCCAGGCAGGACACACAGAGGCACATGGATAGTCTCCAGGGCTGCCGAGTGGCCATACTGGAGAGCCTGACTTCAGTCCTCCTAAGTCCTTCACCCTGTCGAGCAGCTCTGTGCCTCTTCAAAACACCTGCACATCCAGAGCACAGTAAGCCTCGAGGAGGACGTGGGTAAAATGATGCATGTGGCGTGTGAGGAGCTGGAGAAAAGCAGGCGAAGGCAGATCAGTGCCGATGACTCCTTTTTTTTTTGAAACGGGTCTCGTTCTGTCGCCCAGGCTGGAGTGCAGAGGGATGATCTTGGCTCACTGCAACCTCCACCTCCCGGGCTCAGGCAATCCTCTCGCCTCAGCCTCCCGGGTAGCTGGGACTACAGGCGTGTGCCACCACGTCTGGCTAAATTTTTTTGTATTTTTGGTAGAGACGGGGTCTCGCCATGTTGGCCAGGCTTGTCTCAAACTCCTGAGCTCAAGCGATCCACCTGCCTCAGCCTCCCAAAGGGCTGGGATTACAGGCTTGAGCTACCACACCCAGCCTGAGCCACCATGCCCAGCCCAGATGATTCTTAAATAAGAACAAGCTAAAAACACTTTTTAAAACTGGGCACAGAAAACACATGCATATTTTAGTTTTACATAAAGAAATACTCAAACCTAAGGAATGTATTTTCTTATGCTTGATGTTTCTTATTCATGGGCCCACACATCCAGGTCAAATATCACGTTCCTAAAAAATGACTCTAGTATCTGTATATAAGCCGGCACTGTGGTATAAATAAACTTTGTATTCAATTACATTATAAATTAAAACAACATATTCTATAATTATATTGATATAGTAAGAAATTGAAGCTTTAAAAATTTCTACTAAATACCGATGCTTTAAAAATTTCTACTAAATACCAAGCTCAGATACAAATTGCTTCCTGACTATTGTTACCTATGTCACTAAACAATCATTTTATTTTTGTGTTTAATGATTAAGTGATTGTCCAAGTCTTCAATTTTACACGCCTGCAAGAAAAGCACCATGGAAGCTTCCAGTCTTCTATTAATAACAGCTGCTCTGCAAATCTCATGACACCGATGTAGAAACAGAATGTCTTCCACAGAGAGATACTTCACAGTAAAGAACCAAGCGCCTTAGTCCACTCCTGCTGCTATGACAAAATGCCTTAGACCGGGCAATTCAGAAACAGCATAAATGTGTGGCTCACAGTTATGGGGGCTGGAAACTGGAGATCAAAGTGCTGGCTGGTTTGGTGTATGGGAAGGGCCAAGTCTCTGCTTTCAATATGGTGCCTGAACGCTCTTGTCCTCACATGACAGGAGGGATGGAGGGGAGGCCACTCTCTGAAGCTTCTGTTATCTGAAGCCTCTGTTATCTGAGGCCTCTGTTATAGGGGCACCAATGCTGTTCACGAGGGTGGAGCGCTCATGACCCAATCACTCCCCAGCCCTGGGACCCCCCACCCTCTAATACTGTCACCTTGGTGATTAGGTTCCAACAGAGAAATTGTGGAGGAATAGACATATTTAAACCATAGCACCAGGTATCTCAAATCATTACCACATGCACTGAGGCAGTTCTCTTAACAGTTAGTTATACATTAAACTAATTTGAAACAATCTGCACAACTACCCATTTCTAAGAGATACTGAGAAAGTCACATGAGAAAGAGCAAAGCCACCAATCGAAGTAAAAGCCAATCACCAAACATCAGGGTCCTGCAGTCCCACCGTGGCACACAGCCACGGCCTCTGGAAATTTCAGACCACAAGCATTCTGGCTCAGACGGGTGCTCAGCCAAAGGCCACAGTGAGAACGTTAGGCTCTGTGGCCACAGGAAATCCGTAAGGTGTCACCAGAGGGTCCCTGCAGGTCTGAGCATCCAACTTCAGGGCGACTGTCTGGGGTAAACACAAACCCTGACCCCATCGACTAACCTTCCCTTTACCAAGGGCACCGCACACTGCCTTTCCTTTGGGTTCCAGAGCTTTGCAAAGTCAAGTGACCCCCCCTTTGGAACCTGCCTCTGCACACGTGCATCTCTAGATGTGCGTGACCACCTGTCCTGAGTCCTTAATGGAACTGGGCCACCCCAGAAAGTCGCCTCTGACTCCCCTGGCTTCCATCTTCATCTTCCTTCACACAGGCTTTCTGTTAGGACACATCACACCTGCCCCCCACACCCCTGCCACACACATGCACGGGGACGCGCACGCGCGCGCGCACACACACACACACACACACACCTCTGCTTCTGCCCAACGCTGCTGCTGGGCGCAGGCTGGGGCAGCCCCAACAGTGCCTTCCGGTGTGTGGTGGCCACAGCCCGGCTTCCTAGTGGGGTCAGGCACTGGTGTCTACAGCTGACCCCAGGATGAGATGTCCTTGATGTAGCTACAGCAGCATCACCAAAGGTCTGACGCCAGGAACCACTAAAAACGGCCTCTGGGGCAGGTGGGGAAAGGCTTTTCTTGATCAGCGTTTCTCTACCATTTGATTCATGTGTTGCCTTTAATGGAATAACTATTGTTATCTATTCTCCATTCAATATAAATTTTCCTGCAATGATAGTAAATTGCATCTCTATATCAAAGATTTATTTAATGTTCATTAACTCTTAAAAACACTCCTGACCTGCCTTCTCATCTCACTCAGATGGACGTCCTTGCCCCCAACTCAAAAGCATCAGGGTTTGCAGAAGGCTCTGGAGCAGCCCGCTCACCTGGCGGCCACCTCCCAACCAGCTCAGAGGCGCCTCTCGCAGTTCAGAGGGAGCAGCACACAGACTGGAACTGCGTTACGAGGAGCAGCTACTGAGCTGGGCAAACGTTCAAAATGGTTTAGAGAAGAGAAACCTCCTCAGAACCAACTCCAGGTTTGCCCCATCTGCTGACAGCACGAAGCACTTCCGGTGGGGCCGTCTGTCTCTCGTTCTCTGTTGCTCTCCCCTCTCCTCTCCCCAGTGCCTGCCAGTGCGGCCGTCACTCCCTGGGGGCCCTAAAGCCGCCTCCAGAGAGGCCCTTTGCTCACAGTTTGCACCTTTTATCTCTTGGCCCCTAAGGGGTCTGAGCCGCACAGCCCAGAGCCGCCCAGGGTTCCCCTCCGATGGATGATCTGAGAGTATCTTCTTCCTCCAGCACTGGAATTACACCGACGGTTTATCTGAGAGTAACTTCTTCCTCCAGCACTGGAATTACACCAGTGGTTTATCTGAGGGTAACTTCTTCCCTCAGCACTGGAATTACACCAATGGTTTATCTGAGGGTAACTTCTTCCCCCAGCACTGGAATTACACCGACCGTTTATCTGAGAGTAACTTCTTCCTCCAGCACTGGAATTACACCGACGGTTTATCTGAGAGTAACTTCTTCCCCCAGCACTGGAATTACACCGACGGTTTATCTGAGGGTAACTTCTTCCCCCAGCACTGGAATTACACCGACGGTTTATCTGAGGGTAACTTCTTCCCCCAGCACTGGAATTACACCGACCGTTTATCTGAGGGTAACTTCTTCCCCCAGCACTGGAATTACACCGACCGTTTATCTGAGAGTAACTTCTTCCCCCAGCACTGGAATTACACCGACCGTTTATCTGAGAGTAACTTCTTCCTCCAGCACTGGAATTACACCGACGGTTTATCTGAGAGTAACTTCTTCCCCCAGCACTGGAATTACACCGACCGTTTATCTGAGGGTAACTTCTTCCCCCAGCACTGGAATTACACCGACCGTTTATCTGAGGGTAACTTCTTCCTCCAGCACTGGAATTACACCTAGACCCAGCAGGAGCAGAAAAGAGGTGTCGGAGCCCCCGGTCATGGAGCTGCATGGGACCCAGCTCCGCATGGCCCGGGCGGAGCCAAGGACGCTATGCCCGCCTGGCATCCCACTGATTCTGGAATGAAGACAAAGGCCTATTCCACTGGCTTTCCACAGCCTGGATCTGTGTGTGTAGATGGACCCTATGTTTTCATGTGGACTCTGAAAGGGGGAGTTAATTTCACCAGGCCCTCAAATGTGCTTGCCAAGGTATCTTTGTGGCCTGTTTGATAATGTCACCCAACTTCTTAGGCGCAGAGAAAGTATCACTGACGCCTGCCTGTGGCGGGTGAGCACATCCTCACTGCCCTGCACGGGGACAGAGCCCGTCTCAGTTCCCTCCCAGGCCCCGTGGGAGGGAGGAAAACCCAGGACTGCGGCAGAATTGAGACAATTTGACATCAGGCCAAGTCCTCAACACAAGCAGAATTAGTGCTAAGAGGTTAAAAGGTTATTCGAGGTCATATGGATACGACACAGGTCAGGAACGCTGAGAAGTTGATTAATATTATTGTGTAATATTAATGTTAGTAGCAATTAACAGCAGCATGCAGGTAGGTAAACAACCATGAGAAGAGAAAGGTGAGAGGAAGACAAAGTGAAGACTCACATCCGGGTGAGGGATGGCATACTGTCCCTGGATTGTGTAGGCCTAGAGAGAGAGAGAGACCCCGTCAGACTGCAACCTGGCTGCACCACGGCTCAGCACCCGCCGCCACCCTCCAGCATGACAAGGACCCTCCGGTAGAAGCTTCCCCCTCGTGTGCCTCTCCACCTGTCCCCATCCTAGGACAAAGGGCCAACCCTCCCAGGGCACCAGGAGCCCCAGGGGAGCCGCACCCACTTCCTCTGGGCGGGCAGAGCTGAGCTGGCCAGTTCAGCGGGTGGGAGGGAAACAGTTCAGCCTTGATGCTTCCGACTCCAAGTTTCTTAAAGCAAAAGAATCGAAGAGTGATCTGCCCAGTAAGAGGTCTCCACTAATTATTACGGTTTTGAAAATTTAATCAGTCATCTGAGTAAATACTTTTGGGAAATAATTTACCCCAAGAAGTCCAAACAACAAAAGAAAGCTCTAAAAGGTGACCAAAACCAATTCACCAAAAGCCAGTCTACGTAGGAAGTGGGTCTACGTCAGTCACAGCTTGCTGCCTCTCATGACCGCCCTGAAGACAGGGAGGGGGTGGCCCTCCTGACGTGGGGGCAGCAATACACCCCTCCCAAGCCATCGTGTGGGGCTCCTGAGGCCTCATTTTGGCTTCAGTATTTCCCTCGCCTTCAAAACAGTGACTCCGACCTGCAGCCTCTTCCCACCCACCCTGACTCTGAAATCCGGGCAGGTGAGAGAGGCCCCACCTGCCCCACAGGTCCCGTCAGTGGAGACGCTTTCAGGTGATTCAGAAACTCATGGCCAGACAACAAATGGACCACACAGAGTCAAGGGAGAGTGAAGACCACGAACAGCTGTCAGGACTCGGGACATGGACAGGGCTGCACCAGGCCTGGTGGCAGCCTGGGGGTGGAGGGAGCGGCTACCAGCCCCTGGCTGTGCGGGCCCCACGCCACTTCCCATGAGGACCCGTGGTATCGGTGTTCGCGGTGACCACACGTGGGGGTGGGGGGACCCTGTGCACCAGAGAGGGACACTTCAGGGAAGGATGTGTGTCACCTCTGTGCAGCCCAAACCCTCCCATGGGTTTTGAATCTGCCAAGAGTTTTCATCATAAACAACCCAATCCTCGGAGTTAAAGGCCAGTCAACCTCCAGACAGGGACCCGGCTGCAGCCCAGCTTTGAAACAAGCCCCAGGGCTGTGAGGCCACAGTGCTGCGTCAGCTGAGGAAGTAAAAGAATCTTATCAGATAGAGCAGGAACCAAGGACCTCACTGTCCTGTACAAAGTGTCTTGAGGGCCACCTGCAAGTGTTTTGTAAAGGTGCTGCCAGAGGCACGTTCCCATGTGTCACCGAAGGTGAGGGGCCCTGGAACTCATGCTGGGAGCCGCCCCCTCAGCGCACGGGGTCCCAGGTCAGCCCCAACTGTCTGAGCTGAACCACAAGAGCTCAAGCATCCTGCATCCTGGGCCACGCGAGTTTTCTGACTGATCTTCTTACTGTTATGTTTTCTATCTGCTCGTCCCTTAGCAGGCTCTGCTGATTTAACTCACGACCATGTCGTGCTAGAAACGCGGTGGTGGCTGACAGGAGCTGCTGCTGGGTGCCCCCAGAGCACTCACAGTGGTGGGGCATCTTCCAGGTCCCTGATTTCTCCAACTGGACAGAAATAAAGTGGATGGGCCCTCCAGGTTAGCTCTCTAGGGTCTGTATTGGGTTGTGTGTCCTAATCTAGGCACTGTGGGTCTGAGTCGTCAAGGAGACGCCAGTGGCCTTGCAGGTATCCGGCCCACACTTCTGGGTTTGCATTTCGGCAGCTCCCCTGGGTTACTTCAGGGTGGGTAACTCCCTGCGACTCTGTCCTCCACCACCAAGGCTGACCACTGGCCAGACCAGACTGTCCCCAGGGCCCCAGGGCCCAGCTCTCAAAGGGCTGACATTCTAGCATCAACCTTCGGACAGCACCCACTGCACAGGGCCCTTCACCTGCTGCAGTAGGGAGGGCGTGCTACTGCCTTCTTTACAGGAGTGAGAGGTGTGTGGCCGGTGGCTGAGCAGGGCTCAGCTGCACCCCCTCTTCCCTGGAGCTGTGACTCCTCCCCCAGTGGCTTTAAGACCCCACATGTGTTTGTATAAACACACCTTCCTTTTGAAAAAAATCCTACCTTTTACCACATGATATCATCATGGATTTGTTTAAACATAAAGGTGGAGTCCACAGAGGTTACTAAACCGGTTACCTAACCATGAATTTGGGGAAAGCAGCGAAATGGAGTTTTGCACAGGGACTTCTCCCGCCGTGTGACTCCGTGTGACCCTGTGACCTGAGCCCCCTAGGTCGGCGAGGTAAGGACATGTCCTGCTGCCCACAGGGCTGTGACACCAGGCAAATCCCTGGCTAGCCAGGCCCAGTTTCCTGGCTATAAAATGGGGGTGTGCCATGCCCTGGGGCTGCTGTAAGGATGGCATGTGCATGTGGGGGCTCCCTGACCACAGCAAGACAGGAAGGGGTGTGTGCCAGGCTGTGGAGACGAGGCCAGTGTGGGGAAAAGGCATACCCTGCCCTGAGCACACGGGACCCTGGGAGGGAAGGGATGGACACACACTCCCTGTCTCTCCCTCAAACACGGGCCACAACTGGGAGATCTGATAAGATTCCTTTACACCGTAAGGAAAAGCACCAGGAAAAGTGCTAACATTTGCCCCTTCTCTCCTTTTTGATGGTAAAGTCAAACCTCAGGCCTGTTCTGCCTTGCCAGGGTCACCTGTGGGAACGTCTGTCTCAACTCTCCCTTGAACAAAGACACACATCACGGCCGACTGGACACAGAGCTCTTCCAGGCCAACCCCCGCCGGACACCTTCAAAGTCTGTTGGCCACAGACTGGCCCTGAGTGGGTGGGTGTTCCCTGTGCCCTGGCCAGGGTTTGGGCTCAGGTGAGGGGCTGGGGCAGGGCTCCCCTCCTCCACTCTCCTGCAGAGGTGCTGCCATCCCTGGCGGGAGAACACAGAGCTCAAGGGCTGAAACCAAAAGAGCCAGATCTGCAGACTGGGTATGGGGTATGGGGCGCCTGTGAGGCCCCTGCTCACAGCAGACGGAGGTCCGGACACAGCGGCACAGACGCCCGGTCGTCGGGCCATGCATCCTTCCTCAGTGCAGAGCTCCCTCCTCTCGCACGTCCCTGCTACAAGCACATCCTGGGAGTTTGGGAACACGGATGTCAGTGGAAACAAGACCCTGGTTCTCACCATGCTGTTTCCAACGTGAGACGTAAAATCACCTAGAAAGCGCCTGCGCGCCGGCTATCTAAGCTTCCTAAAAACACCCAGTTCTGGGAACTGGATTTAGGCAGAGCCAGATCTTCCTGCCCGGGTCAGGGAGGGAGAACATGATTCCGTGGGGCCGTCTCTGTGGGGGAATGCCGCTCTGAAGGCCCCCTGCGTCCGCCTGGTGCTGGGTGTAGGTGGAAGAGCTCTGCCTCCAGCACGGGTGGGAGACGTGCACGTGAGAAGGCGAGAAAACCTGAGTGCACTAACGGGCAGCGGCGGGTGCTGCAGTAAAAGGCTGAGGTTGGCAGTGGAGGCCGCGAGCGGATCGGCTCTTACCTGACCACCTGCAAAAATGACAGGGGTGGAGGCGGGCTTTGGGCGGTAGGGAATGGTGGCACCTTTCGGTGGGGACTAGGAAAAGGGACAGGAGAGGGAGAGAGAGCGTTAGAGCAGCTTCGCAGCCTGGCAATGGGGAGGCGTGCCCCGGCCCACCCCACTCAGCCCCCTGCACCAGCTCCACGCTCCCCACACCTCCCCGAGTTTCGCAGCAGTGCTGGGGGAGGGGAGTGAAGACCTCCAGCCCCCACACCCTCTGTGTGGCTGTCTTATGGCCTGTCCCTCCAGAGGGCTCCTTTTTGCTGAGCCCTGGGCTGCAGTTTGCCACACACCGGCCTCCTGAGAGTACCGCCTGCCCCGAACATCCCTGGGAGGCTCTGTGGCAGTGCGGAGAGTCAGTCCCATTGTGGGAGGCCAGCTGGGGTGGGTCCCTTGCCCACAAGACCCTGCTGGACAAGGGCTGGCCGCCAACCCAGACGGCCCCCTGCGGTGCTGGCCCCTCCACCGGGGCCCCTCCTGGGATGCGCAGGGCCCTGCAGGCCTGGCTGCACGGCTTCACAGGGAGCTGCCCCTTGGAGCAATTCTCTTGAATGTTCTGGAGAAAGTTGAGCCCTGTAGGACTCCACCGGGACCTATATCCAAAGCGCTTGGCTTGGCCCGTGGTGACAGTCAGCAGAGATCTCCACAGGAGACTTGGAAACATCTCACTTCACTATGTGAAAAAGCATGTTTAAAGTGCTTATAGACTCCAGAGGAAAAAATCCCATAGTTACGATGAGGTTTGCCTTAATTTCCCTTGGGTATTCTGTCGGAAACACAGGATTAACATTCTCCAGCGCCAGCATTTTTAGCCTGCCCTCCTTCTCCTGGGTGAGTCCCCTGTCTAACTGTCCCCAGGGCCCAGGTCAAGGAGGCAGAAGTCCTGGGCCTGGGGGGCACCACAGCTGGGGTTGGTCCAGCAGGAAGAGGTGGGGGCTGGAGCCCATGAGCCGTTCCTGGCAGGGGGCAGCCTGTCCTGCTGGGAGTTCTGGGGCCTTGGCTGACTCAGGGCCAGCCCAGCACTCAGGGAGCGCCACTCACACTCAAAGCCCCAAGATGGGGAGTGGGTGGCTGGATCCGCAGCGCCAGGGCCCTGGGGTGTGACCTCAAGTACTGTGGGGAAGGGGATGTGGGGCGGGTCTGGGCTGACTTGAGCTGGGCCTGGGGTGGGAGGAACTGACTGAGGTAGACGGGAGCCGCTGCTGCCCTCCCCGGCTCCTGGAGATGCCCAGCCTCGGGCCAGTGCCCCTGTGCTATGGGCCCTCGACCCCCACCCAGGCACAGGAGCTCCCAGCTGACCCTGACCTGTGATTCCCACTTCTTCTCTGGGCACAGGGCCTGCTGGCCTCCCCTGGGACTGCATGAGCCTCCCTGCACTGGGTACAGGGTGCTGGGCCCTGGGTGGGCAGGGCACCATCTGTGGCGATGTCTGTATTCTCAGCAGGCCCCACCCAGACTCATGGCACCCTGGGCAGCCCTTTCCTCCGTCATCTCCTGGGTGTGAGGTGAGGCATGCCCACTACCAAGCCCAGAAGTCCTCCAATCAACCAGGAGGGTCTTTAAGGCATCCTTGGCTTTATTTTTCCAGTCACTCTTCATCTGAGGGCGGACCCAGCTGTTTCCAGGTGTGATGAATCTTCCTCCCTGGGATGATGGCCCCTGGGACTTGGGATGCAGCACAGCCAGCGGGAGTGAGAGCAGCTGCCTGGCCATCTTCACTGGCCATGTCTGCTACGAGCTCCCTGTCTTGCTCAAACCTCCCTGCCCAGGAAGGAGATAGGGTGGTTCGGATGATGGCTCTGGGGGCATGGGCAGCCTTGGGGCAGCGGGTGCACCTGCATCTGTGGAGCTGCACCTGGCACTGCACCGGGACGCAGGCAGCAGAGGCACTGGGTGACGCTGACGAGACCCACGTGTTGTTGAGGAGCTGGACCTCGGCCCTCCATTAGGGATGTCCCTCCTAGAACTGTTCGTGTCACTGGCTGCTCCTGAGCCTCGGCCCGCAGGGCCTCCAGGGCCTGAGACTGGAGAGTTGAACAGATAGCTCAGACCAGCATGGCACTTTCGCCCTAACCAGGGAGTGGGGAAGATTTCAGAACAAGAATATTTTGAAAAATATTTTTCACTTCACAAAGTATCAAACTTCAGGGAAACAACAACTACGCAAACATTTTTTAAAGAGTCAAACATGGGGTTTGAACCCCAAGCCAAGTACGAGAGAGGAGTGAGCCTGGGCTGCAGGAGGGGCTGGAGGCTGACCCTGCAGAGCTGCTAGAACTTTCCATCTGGGGCGAGGCTTCTTCATTTTTGCTTCAGGAAAGACTGGCAACTGTTGATAGCTTCATGAATTTTGAGTATACTTCTGAGTTTTTTCCTCCCCCCGAAACTTCAAGAGAGGCGTCTGCTCTGAGCGGGTTCTTCTCTGCTTTTCCGTTTTAATGCTTTTGTTCACCCATCTCTACTTCTGCATGAGTTTTGTATGTTTTCCCGAGTTTTGACCTCTGTTCCTCCACGGTGGTTTGACGCCTCCTTCTGCAGAACTGCATGCGCAGAGGAGCCTCCTGCCTTTGCCTCCCTCCCACCCCCAGCTGCCCCCCAAGGCCTGACTCCAACGTAAAGAGCACTGTTTCTGCAGCTCCAACTCAGTGCAGAAGACCCCTCAGTGGGATGACAACTTCTTACCCAAATCCGAAGATGAGAGGAGAGGCTCCCTCCTCTCCACATGCTCTCCCCTAGACGCCCCCACGAAGACACTGGACCCTGAGCTGGCAGCCCCAGCACCCCTGTGGCGCCCATACCGGCACCGCTCTCGCTCAGGCTGACTTGGGGTCAGGAGCCCCCCACAGCCCCAACTGTGTGAGTCCTTGGGGCGACCGGGGCTTCCAAGCCTTTGCCTGCAGTGCTGGGAGGCCAAATCCAGCACTGACGTGGGCTGGCCCTGGCGCGCAGACGGTACCTCCAGCATGACCACACAGATCTGCTTGACGCACTGGATGATGGCATCTGGGGTCCCCGAGATGGTCACCGCTCGCTCCGTGGAGTTGGGCAGCATGTCCCCAGCCACCTGCACCTGGGCACCTGTGGACTGGAGAGAGGGGACATTGGAAGGGAGCACCAGGGTAGCAGCGCATGGGGCAGCAGTACCTCCCGAGTCTCGGCACCCAAGGCAGCTCGGGGGACACTTCCTTGGAAACCTGCATACAGCCCACGCGCCCCCTCCCCCACCGCCATCCCAGCACTGCCCCCATGCTGCCCCTGCTACCACGGCCTGGCACCCGGCCCTGTGCCTTCCCTCGGGCGCACTTGGCACCTGGCCAAGGCTAGACAAGGAGGCATCTAATCAGAGGCATTTTCAGGGAGACAAACGACTCTTTTCAAATACACGGAATCCTCTCTCCTCTGTGGAGTTTTAGGTCACAGAGAAAGGTGGACTCTGGTCATGGGAAAGGAAATGAAGATTGGGGCAGCTGCCCTGCTGCATAGGGCAAGGATTCAGGCTTTCCTTGAAATGGGACAAACGTGTGGATGTGAAGTTCACATCTGCAAACTCTGCCCACTGGGACAGGCCGATGGCTCAGGGCTGTCTCCAGGTGCCCTGGAGGCCCCTCACAGGGAGTAGATACAGCACCCAGTGCCCAGGGCCTCCCTTGCCCAGAACCATGTGACCAGCTAGTTCCTCCCTGTCCCCAGCACGGCCCATAGGAGTGTAGTGGGTGGGCAGGATCCATAGGTGAGCAGTGGGTGGAAAGGGCCCATATTTGGGCAGTGGGTGGGGGGTCCGTATCTGGGCAGTGGGTGGGGGGGGTCCGTATCTGGGCAGTGGGTGGGCCAGGTCCATATCTGGGCAGTGGTGGGGGGGGTCCGTATCTGGGCAGTGGGTGGGGGGGGGTCCGTATCTGGGCAGTGGTGGGGGGGGTCCGTATCTGGGCAGTGGTGGGGGGGGTCCATATCTGGGCAGTGGGTGGGCCAGGTCCATATTTGGGAAGCAGGTGAGGGGGGTCCGTATCTGGGAAGTGTGTGTGGGGGGGTCCGTATCTGGGAAGTGGGTTGGGGGGGTCCATATCTGGGCAGTGGGTGGGCCGGGTCTGTATCTGGGCAGTGGGTGGCCGGGTCCGTATCTGGGCAGTGGGTGGCCAGGTCCGTATCTGGGCAGTGGGTGGGCCGGGTCCGTATCTGGGCAGTGGGTGGGGGGGGGGTCCGTATCTGGGCAGTGGGTGGGGGGGGTCCGTATCTGGGCAGTGGGTGGGCCAGGTCTGTATCTGGGCAGTGGGTGGCCGGGTCCGTATCTGGGCAGTGGGTGGGCTGGGTCCCTGCAGTGCAGTTGTGCTTGCTCATGGGTCCTGTGTTCCTGTCTCGCACTTTGAGCTGTGGGGTCTGCGTGGCCAGCATTGGGCTTGCAGACAGCAGGGACAAGGCTCAGGAAGGCTGCCTGGCCTGTGGCCACCACCCGCAGCCCGCCTAGAGGCTCCGCAGCGGCCCAGGCTGGGAAGGTCCTGTTACCTCCCTGATCTCCTTGATCTTGGAGCCTCCTTTGCCGATCAGGGACCCACACTGGCTGGCAGGCACCACCAGCCTCAGCGTCACTGGGGGCTTGCTGGTGGCAGGGCTGTTGCTCATGGAGTTGATGATATCCTAGGGGAGAGACACGTGTGTTGGCAGCACTTCAGGCGTCGTGCAGTGAGAAAGCAGGAGGGCAGGGGGTGTGTCCTGACTTCCCACACTCAGAAGCCCACAGAGCCCCTGTCATGCACAGCCGAGGACAAAGTGGCCAGGCCAGGCCAGGGAGGACCAGGAGACGTCGCTGAAATGGATGGGCAGGCTGGCAGGGCACACAGACGGCAAGGCAGGATGGTCACCGTGCCGCAGTGGGGTTGGGGCGGGTCTGGCCTTGGTCGTGGAGACCTGGTGGGAAGGGGGTGTGGACAGACAGGCTGATACAGGAAGTGTGGGTGCTGGCCTAAGGGGAGGGGAGAATGGAGGCTGGAGACTAGCTGGGGGCTGGGTCTGATGCCCAGAGCCAGGTAAGGCAGGGATGTCGGGGACAGGCCACGACTGGGTGTGGAGGGCACGGGGGCAGAGAATGGCTCCTGGTGTCTGGCCTAGGGAAGGAGATGTGTGGTTAATGTAGAAGCGGGAGAAGGCTGAGGTGGGGGGCGGCCTGTGCCCACCCTCCTGGGCAGCCTGGTTTGGCTCATGGTCCTGACACCCAGGAGACAGAGCTGGGCTTTGGGTTCAGGCTGGCAACCCGTGGGGGACAGGGCTTCTGTCAGCCGCATGGGGCGTGTCCAGGCTGTGGCCCGGAGCTCGCTGCAGAGCGTGGCAGACAGCGCGGCAGAGGCAGTGACAGGGCAGCTCCGGAGCTCGCTGCAGAGCGTGGCGGACAGCGCGGCAGAGGCAGTGACAGGGCAGCACCCCCAGGACACCCCCAGCTCTGGATCCATTATGCCTGAGTTACGATTCAGGGCAACAGGATTTGCTCTCCACGAAAAGTGCCCTCTTCTTAGAAACAAGGCTTGGCCAGTGTGTGCCTGGACAAACTGCTATAGACTAGCAAGGAAATAGGATGGTGTCCCCTTTGTCTATTTTTTGTGCTGAGAGCTTGACTTTGACCCACACAGAGCGTTCTTTCTGGTGAGGCTGGGGAGAGGCTCTGTGTGTCAAGGTGTCGGGTTAGGGACCTGAGGCACAGGCACGGACACTAAATTCCCACTTCCTGCCACCCGCTCTCATGGGGCCATGTCTCAATCCCCTCCTCTCCCAGGAAAACTCCTTGAATGGAGTCACTGCAACTGGAATTCTGGTGCCTGTCTCTCCAAGTGGCCTCAATTCCCCAAGGATGATTGGGCCTCACTGGCTGCCCTGGGGGAACATTTGACTTTAACGAAATTGTTCATTAAGAGGCACCTTAAAAAAGAAAGATAATAAGATTTTTTCAGGCCCAATGGGCAGCATTTTTTGATTGGTATGAAGAGGCCTTCAAATGAACTTCTCATTTAAAAATAGTTTCACTAAAACATTCTTTGGCTACAGCTAGTCAGCAACCTGGCAGACGTCGGCAACAAACCAGACCCCCAGGCTCGTAAGCTCTCCCTCCTTTTCCTCCCACTGCCCCTGCCCAGCACTCCCCCCGCCCCGTCCTTCCCTTCCAGCTCCTCCATCGACTCTACCTCTATCTTTTCCAGCCCTCCTAAAACCCCCAAATGCCAGCTGCCTGTAAAAACCCATCCCCCGAGAGCCAGGCGAATAGGCAACTCCAGAAGCTAAACCTTGGATTGGAGCTGAATTCAGAGCCACACTTACAGATTCCCTACACCCAGACAAGACCTGCAATGACCAACAGAAGAATTTAGAATTCTTTTGGTTGCACATGACCCAGAGTTACCTGAACTCTGTCAACAAATGAACCCGAGGGTCAAAAAAGGTCCCATAGCAAAGTCCTAAATGCCACCCCTAAAACATCTCCAGTAGGAACTGATTAGAACAAGCACAAAGACAGACGTAAGATGAAACAACTGGAGATCTGGGGACAGACTAGAAAGTCCCTTCCGACAACCTCGACTGTCTCTACCCTTCGAGGTAAGGGAGGCGCTGGCGTGAGGGCAGCCCTTTCGTCCCATGAGGTCAGTGGAGTGAAACCCCACTCGAACGCAGAAGTAGGGATGGGAATAGCCCTTCTGCTGAATGACAGCCACTGGCAGAACACACTGAAAAAGCTCTGGAACAAAAATGAGCCAGGACTCCTGCAGACCAGAGAGCTAGGCGCCCCTCACCAGCCCCAGCACCCAACAAGCACACTCATGTAATAGCTGCTGCATTCAGAAAGGACACCAGAGAAAAGATGATCCCATCCCCAGAAAGAACAACTGAGACATAGAAAGATCCTGGGTCCAGGCAGTGAGGGAGCCCGAGGAAGGAACGGGCGGCCGGCCTCCGCCTGGCCTTCAGCTCTCAGGGTGACTAACACTGGACGCAGGTGGTCTTCCTCATCCTCCTGGTGGCCACTGCGGCTCTTCCTGCATCCGACCTGCAGAAAGGTCTCACGTCATCCTCCTCCTCAGTTTAGGTACACCACACCCTGGGAGGCGTTTCAAATCACCCGCCGTGTTTTCTCTCCCTATTTTCCAGCCCTGAACTGTAACCCTTGGGCCCTTGATTGGAAAACATTCATTCTTGCTCTGGGACTCCACCCCTGAAAATTTAGTAGGCAGAGACTTTGCCTGAAAACGGGATGGCACCTTAAATGTACATCAGAGACACTGTTTCCTGAGCTCCCGGAGAACTCCTCGGCCCACCGGCAAGTGTGTGGGCTCTGGGCAGACCCCTGCCTCATGAGGTGGGTGTAGACTCCGGGTAAGGGTCTTGACGCTGCACCTGACACAATCCCACTAACACAGGCAAAATGACCGGGGCAGAGCCTCTAAAGGCTCCGAGAGGTTCCACCAAAACATGACCCGAAATTCTCCACAATCCTGTGACCCCAAATCCAAAAGAAGGGCTCAAACTACAGACAAACGGCCCCTGTCCAAGGCCTTCCCGACCCGACCCTAGCCCCTATCCAAAGGCCTCCCCGGCCCGACCCCACCCCTACGGCTCCTACCCAAAGGCCTTCCTGACCTGACCCCAGCCCCTGTGACACGCCTGTCCTGCCAGTACAGATACCAAGATACTGATCTGCCGAAGACCTCAGGGCCACCAACAAAATTATTCTCCCTTACTTCCTAGGGGTACTGAACCGAAACACAACTTTGCTGTCCATTCTTCCCAAAGCCACGTGCTTCATGGTGGTGGGTGTTCACGCTGCCCCTCCAGGGCTGCCGCTAGACCAGGAGAGTGAGCATGTTTTGCCCTCAATGGGGAGGACAATGATGAACTTGGACAGTCACGCCCTGGGGGTCACTGAAGTCTCCTCCTGCTTTTTCCAGGTCCTCATTAAGACTTAGAAGACCTAAATCTCCCTAGCGATTCAGTTCTGACACATCGTGGTGACGCCCTCTTTGTTCAGAGACGAGGAAGTCTGTGGAGGACCCCACCTACCTGCAGCCTTAGTGGACTCTGTCGAGAATCCCGGCCTAACATCCCACTTCACAACTGAAGCTGGAGGTGATCAGGCAGGGCCTGTGCTGCAGAACCGGACCAAGTTCATCCACTGAAACCCTGACCCTCCGTGTGATTGTGTTTAGAGATGGGGCTTTACAGAGGTAACTAAGGTAAAATGGGGTCCCTACAGTAGACCCTAATGTAATCTGACTGGTGTCCTTGTAAGAGGAGACAAGGAACTGACACACACAGAGGGGTGACTCTGTGAGGACCCAGGAAGAAGACGGCATCTGCAAGCCAAAGAGAGAGGCCTCAGAGGAACCGGCCCTGATGGCACCTCCATCTGAGACTTCCAGCCTCCTGGACTGTGAGAGAACCAGCGTCTGCCGTGTAAGCCACGCAGTCATGGCATTTTGCAATGGCAGCCCAAGCAGGCTGGGACAGTGTGCTGCCGCTGACCTGGCTCTCTCCTTCGGCACAGTCCTCTGTGGTGCAGAAAGTCTGCCAGATGCAGAACTCATCACACTTGCCAGCACTTGTCAACTAACCAAGGGCCCATGGCGGTGGATGCTCTGGAAACAGAGGGGCTTTTAGCTCTGCTGGAAGCCCACCCTACGTGGGCCGGGTGCTGAGTTCTTGGGCACACTTCTTCCTAGAGAGGTGGTGACTGCAGATGCGAGGCCAGTGCAGACGGAGATGCGGTCGTTGGAGGAGGTGCTCTGGGGGGTCATTCTGCCCAACTAGTGCTTTAGCCACAGCTTGACTCCAGCTAAGCCTCGAAGTTTGGATCTCTGGAGGCAAGCCAAGAGGCCATTGTAAGATTTCAACACTTCGCCCCTGATTTTGAAAAGGAAGAATGGACAAATTCTGAAAATTCTGGTTGTATCCTTTACTCAATCTCTGGTGCTCTCAGCTGGCTGTGGTACCAGATGATTTCAAACAGATATTCGCTAAGTCAATCCATGAAACTACTCATCATGCTGTAGACAAATTGATGAATATCTCCAGTCAACACTGGTGGGAAAGCTTTACAAAGACTGGATGAATATCTCCAGTCAACACTGGTGGGAAGCTTTACAAAGACTGCTGAGGTTCTTTTAAGGCCAGGTATCCGTCACCAGCACAATCGTGACATGGTGTGAGGGTGAGACACGGCCCCAGAGCGACGACTCAAGGGCCCTCTGAGCACCTTCAGGTAGATTTTAACCAGTGTTCACTTGGGACTGGAAATACTTTCGCTGTTATGTGTGTGTTTTCAGGATGGGCTGAAGCACTTCCTTGTTTAAAAGCTACGGTCCTTAAAGTTGCCAAAAAATTCCTTGATTTTGCATTTCCAACCTGAAGCATACCAACTTTTACATGAAGTGATTGAGAAATACATTTTACACAAACCATTATAACAGAACTCTCTGAGTAGTTACCCCTTACTCAAGAACAACACTGTCCTGACCATCCACAGTCTTCTGGAAAAACCGAAGGACCAAAAGATGAAAACTCCAAATCCCTCGAGCTTCCTGAGCATCCACAGTCTTCTGGAAAAACCAAAGGACCAAAAGATGAAAACTCCAAATCCCTCGAGCTTCCTGAGCATCCACAGTCTTCTGGAAAAACCGAAGGACCAAAAGATGAAAACTGTCCGAATCCCTCGAGCTTCCTTGGCCATACAGTCTGCGCGCTTGGAGACATCTCAGCTCTTCCTCCATGGACTGATGACTGGAAGGCTTGTACCTTTAGGAATTCCTGATACTCGACTCTGCCCTGCTGCGGCAGAGATGACAAATGACTGTAGAGGACTCAGCACAGCCCTACATAACCTACGTAATAGCGTAGGTTACGGCTGCTTCCCATGACATCTTCCCAAACATCCTCCTTAGGACCTTCAACCAGGAGATTTTGTCTACTGGAAGGGACGTCAGAGAAAATCTGTTTCTCTAAACTCATTGCAAGGGGTCTTACAAGTATTGCTAACAAATCCAGCAGTGAAACTCCAAGGAATCAGTCCTTGGTTTCACATTTCACAGCCAAAGCAGCGATTCAGAATTCCACACAACTAGAAAAAGACTCCCACACAGGACCTCAAACTGAGGTTCTCTGAGATCCTCTAGAGGCAGCCATTCTTCAGAAACAGACGGCTGATCTCAGACCTTCCTGCAAGATGAAGACCTTGGACAAGGGACAATGTCTGCTCAGATGTCCTGACAAGACCTCTGTCTGATTTGTTTCATTTTTCATCTGCTTATATATAATCATTCTCCCTCTTATTCTCCATGGACCCCTGGTTGTCATCCACCTCTGTTGATGGTCCCTTTTCTATTTTCTTTTCACTTTATGATAATTGTTATGTTAGCACATATTCGTTCTAGTGCCATTCTTGATTATCCCAAACAGTAACCACTGCCCTCACTCTCACTGACCACTGGACACACCGCCCACCACCAGGCCCCAGGGATGCACATCTCTAGACATGCCAGTCTCATCAAATGGGACCCTGGGGAATGACAGCTGATGGTCTTTCTGCTTGCATCTACGTGGACAACTGACTCTAAACAAATTGCCTGTGACTTTGCTAGCGTCCCTTTCTCCTAGAAAAGCAACCAATTATTAAAGTTTACTGATCGGTCCCTAGGTCATTCAAAACTTAAATTCAGCAACCTGCATGGGGCAACTGGCCACGAAACCCTGGCCACGAGGGAGAAACTAAAACAGGTCCCAACTGAAGCTGGAGGACACAGGCCTTGGTTCCAACCTCTTGTCCTGAGCAACAGCCCTTCCCCAGTCTCCATATGCCTCCACCAGACACTGCTTCCTTGGGACCAGTCACCAGGCCCTGCTGGCCTCAGATGAATACCTCAGACATCTTAGGAATGGTATCCTGAGACTTCTCTGTGTACAAAGACCCTAATTCTATAATCTCCACAGCTGGAAATTCTGACTCAAACTCGAGTTCCAAAACGAGGCCACCTGTGATTATTTGTGTACTCGTGGAAGGGATGACTGAGTGTCCCCCACAGTGGGAATCACACAGGCAGAAAGTGCGGTCAGAAACCCATCGCCAACTCCAGCAGAAGTTATTCGGGACACCGCCTGCCCTGGGTGGAAGACGTGTTGGCACAAGCAGCGGTGGGTGATTGCTTTTCTCCAGTTTCTTGCTGGCCAGCCATGCTGGCGTCTGTGCCACTGCACATGTTACCTGCAGAGCGAAGGTCCCAGGAGCGGGCTGCCCAGCACCCTAAGGAGCGGCTATGAGACTCTCCAAGGCTGGTCCTCATGGCTATGGGATGTGTCCTCTTGCCTTGGGTTGGGTAACGGCGCTCTTGGTCTCACCACCATCCGGGGACTGGGTTGTTCTTGTTTCTGTTTTGGTGTCATGATGCTGGTCTGCTGTATTCCATCAGTCTCCCATCAGACAACGGCCAGGATGACTCAGCAACAGAAAGATCCAGAGGACCCTGCAGCACAGCTGACCAAAAAGGCAACTAAACCATCCCCAAGCGGCGTGACCTGGCTCTCTAGCCTTTCCTGAACTGTCTATCCTCTTGCAAATGAGAGAGTGGCTTAAAGGGGAAACTAAGAGACAACCTACAGACAGTGGCCAGGCCACCTACGATAGGGGAACACTGGCCCCAGTGTCTGCAGCGTCCAGCCTTGGAGGCCAGGCCACCTACGATAGGGGAACACTGGCCCCAGTGTCTGCAGTGTCCAGCCTTGGAGGCCAGGCCACAGGCTCTGCTGCAGTCGGCTCTGGGCAGTCAGCTTCCCTCATGTGCATCCCCAGTTCCAACTCAGGACCCACTGGAAAAGGCCTCGCACACTCCTCCAACCAGTCACATGGGATGCCCCACTTCTAGCCCTACTGCTGGCCCCAGGGCACATCTCTCCTCTTCTCTCCCACTCCCAAGCTCCCCCTCCTGCCTGCCTTTGAGTCTCTGCCAAGCACAGAAGATGGCGCCGACCCCCACCATGGCCAGCTTTGGATAATAAAGAGCCTCTGCCCATTCTCCCTTGGAGGGGTCTTTGTTTATTCCCACAAAGTGCACCTCATTACTTAATGGTCACTCCTCAAAGACACTAAATGCATCTCTAACTTCCAGCAATTTCAAGAAAATTAGAAACACATAAAGACATTAAAATTTCATTCAATGACAGAATACACAGAAGTGCTGCTCTCTCCCCCTCGCTCTCTCTCTGTCTCTGTCTCTCTCTCTTTCTGTCTCTCTCTCTCTCATCTCTCTCTCTCTGTCTTCCTCTCTCTCTCTCATCTCTCTGTCTCTCTCTGTCTTCCTCTCTCTCTCTGTCTCTCTCTCTGTCTCTGTCTCATATCCACTATCACGGATGGCCTCTACCTTTACCGTCCGTATCTCAGCAAGGCTACATCAGCTGTCACGGGGGCCCCAGAGGCATGGTGCTGTGTGGCTGAGGACCAGGGCTGTGCCAGCCAGGGCTTCATCGAGAGCCATGTGGCAGAGCTGGCTGGAGGCTGGAGGTGCTGGTGTGGCCCAAGGGTCAGCCAGGCTGCACGCCCCAGGGGAAGGGTGGGGTGTTCTGAGGCCGTGCTCGGTGCCCCAGGGCAGGGTCTGGGGAAGCTGAGGGAGGTGGACCTAAGGCATACAGCCGGGAGTAGCTGGCTTCAGAAGGATGGAGAGACACTGGCCCCTGACTGGGTGAACCAGAGCTGCGGAGAGGCCCTGGGAGGCAAAGGAGGTGAGCGTAGTTATGGGGTTGCCTGGGCGGGCTGGGGCATCCCCTAGTCCAGGTGTAGGGGAGAGGACCCAGGGAGCCAGCTGGGACCAGGCCTGCCCCCGCCAGGCTGGCAGAGGTGCCTGGGGTGCAGGTTACCTCCTCAAACTTGTATGCGATCATGGCAAAGGCCTTGAAGATGGCGTCTGTGGGGCCTGTGATGGTCACAATCCTCTCTGGGCAGTTTCCCTCTGAGATGTTGATCCTTGCACCACTCTAAGGTGAGAGCAGAGAAACCCCAGCGACCTGATTAAAACCCTTGGGCCAGTGGGTCGGGGGCCGCAAGTCCGTTGACAATTGACACAAACACATGCCTCTGTCCGCTGACGGAAACCATGAATGAACAGTAAAATGCTTCTCAACAATCTCCTTTACAATGAAATTTTAACTAGCAAAAGGAATCCAACAGATTCCTTCCCCACAGGGGAGCACAGGAGGCCTGAGTAGGGGAAAAGAGGCCCCGCACTGCACTCCCCACACACCCCGGCTGGCCAAGAGCACAGGCAGGACGTCGGCAGGGGCAGAGCCTGGGGACCCACCCCGCCCACCCGGGAATGGCTGCGGACAGGTGGGGACCCACCACACTCACCTCCTCACGCATCTTCTTCACAGTTTCTCCTTTCTGGAATAAAGATTTAGACAATAAGGAAAAGGTATCCCTCTGGCTCTGAGGACGGCGCGGCCCATGGTGGGTGGGGAGCAGCCTGGCCCATACGCCCACACAGCAGAGCCTCCTGCCTGTGCTGGAGGAGCAAACCAGCCTCTCCACTAAGAAGGCCAGGCTCCATGCCCACCACACCCTGGCAGACATTTCAGATGGGAAACTGAGGCCCAGGAATGCAAGTGCACCCACCTACAGGCACACAGCTGGCAAGGGTGGCGCAGGTCTGACCTGACTCCCCATGGCAGCTCACTCATGGCACATGGCAGTGTGCGTGCCCTCAGGCGCCCCGCATTGCCGGCTACACTCTGGCTCAGCCTCCCGGAGGTGGTGACTCTCAGAGACGCGCCCTCTCAAGCGTTTGGGAGGAAGCCGGGACAATGAGCTACTAGAGGCGCCCCCATGGTGGGACTGAGGGGAAGGACCCCCGGAAGCGGTGAAAATGTGATGAAGACAGGGAGGTGGCCCTCACTGCTCGGCCTCCCGGGGCAGCAGGCTTCCAAACTGGGCCTTACTTCCCCCGGGCCAGCCCTGATTTGGAAAGGAATTGTCTGGGGGCTGCTGCCTCCACTGGCACTCCTGGAGACCACCCAGACTACACAGCCGGCTGAAGAAGGCGTGAGAAATCATTCTTCGTGGGGTCTTCAACCGGGAAAGAAGGACTGGCCACCAAGGCCACGGGCAGGGGGCAGCGAGGTGACCAGCTGGAGTGAACCCCTTCCCCTCAGGCCACGCAGAGCCAGGGACCAGCTTCAATGTCATACAGCATAAAGGCGACACCTCTGGGGTCCTGTCTTCATGGAACACAGACCACCCACCAACTGGGAAAGGCGCACCTACTGGGTGCCACCTAGTACCCAGGGAGGCTGCCATCCTCACCATCCCCTTACAGAGACCCCAGGAGAGGCAGAGATTCAATCAATAATTACCTTCCCGATGATGCTTCCAACTTCCTGCAAGAAAAAAAAAATCACAGAAAGATGATGTCATAGAGCAGGAGGAGGAAAACACTGGAGGCAGACACTACCGAAACCTGCCTACCTTCCCGGTATGAGTGCAGAAGGGACCTTCCCGGTGTGCATGAAGAAGGGAGAATTCAGAATCTGCTGGTGGGGAGGGGTGTGTGTACAAGCCAGGCTGCCCATACAGAGGCCCTGAGCCGGGTCTTCCTTGGCGCCCACCTGACCAGGACAGAGATGGGCTGACTGTAAGTGCCCCGGGGGAGGGCAGCTGGCTGCCCCTGATAAATAACTCAGGGGGCATCACCCATGCACTCAGGCTACCAGGAAACTCTGGAAGAAATGTGTGAAAAATAAAGCCTCCTTCAATTGTGTGACTTAAAGAAAACTTAGCACTGCAATTGCTCCGTGACTCCTATTCCAACGGCAGCCTGTTAAAAGGAACGCTGGAAGATGCTGCCACAGTTCTGATGGCGAGCCCAAGGCAGTTTCGGGACACACGTTCCCCGCTGGGCTGAGTGGCCCAGTATCTCCCTGTCCAGCAGCGGGACAGAGCTGACAGGTGCTACTGTGGCCTGTCACCTGAAGCGGGGCCAGCAATGGTGACGTCGGTGAGGCTGTGAGGACGGCATGCAGAGGGGCCCGTGGAGGGAGAGGGAGGCCGTGAGGACGGCGTGCAGAGGGGTCTGTGGAAAAAGAGGAAGGCTGTGAGGACGGCGTGCAGAGGGGCCCGTGGAGAGAGAGGGAGGCCGTGAGGACGGCGTGCAGAGGGGCCCGTGGAGAGAGAGGGAGGCCGTGAGGACGGCATGCAGAGGGGCCCGTGGAGGCAGAGGGAGGCCGTGAGGACGGCGTGCAGAGGGGCCCGTGGAGGCAGAGGGAGGCCGTGAGGACGGCGTGCAGAGGGGCCCGTGGAGGGAGAGGGAGGCTGTGAGGACGGTGTGCAGAGGGGCCCGTGGAGGGAGAGGGAGGCCGTGAGGACGGTGTGTAGAGGGGCCCGTGGAGGGAGAGGGAGGCTGTGAGGATGGCGTGTAGAGGGAGGCTGGGAGGACAGTGTGTAGAGGGGTCCGTGGAGGGAGAGGGAGGCCGTCAGGATGGCGAGCAGAGGGGTCTGTGGAAGGAGAGGGAGACCATGAGGATGGTGTGCAGAGGGAGGCTGTGAGGACGGTGTGCAGAGGGAGGCTGTGAGGACGGTGTGCAGAGGGAGGCTGTGAGGACGGTGTGCAGAGGGAGACCATGAGGATGGTGTGCAGAGGGAGGCTGTGAGGACGGTGTGCAGAGGGAGACTGTGAGGACGGTGTGCAGAGGGGCCCGTGGAGGGAGGAGGACACTGGACACAGGGAGGGGCCCCCGTCAATCATGGCACCTCCCCCACAGAGTGCAGCTGGGTGGCATGGCCGCTGCTGCTGGAGATGGGGCCGTGCACCTGGCCTCACAGAGAGCCCCATTTACCATGCGCCTTGGCTCCTGACACCCACAGTTGGAGAGGCAGGTCCCTCTGTCTCCACTGCAGGAATGAATGCTCTGGGTGTGGGCACCACCACCTTCCCCTGGGGAGGAGGCCGTGTCTTCCCGGAAATCTAGGATGTGCCAGTGCTGTGGGGCTAGAGCTCAGAGCCTCCGGCAGCCTCCTCCCGGCGGGAGGCCACGCACAGATACTGGCAGTTGGATTCCTCGTGGTGCACACCTGAGGCAGGAAGAACTGGGGGACCCTGTGCTGTGGGGCTGGAACTGGGGTTCCATATAGGGAGCTGAACATGGAAGGAAGTGTTCTGCAGGGGTGCAGCCCAGGACCCACAGCAGCTCGGGACCCACAGCAGCCCAGGACCCACAGCAGCCCAGGAGCACCATGCATCCTGGCTTCCAGAACATGCCACCACACACAGGAGCTGCTGGGGCAGTGGCTGGTTCCAGGACTGGGACAAGGAAGACAAGATGAGCAAAGAGCAGGATGGGGCTATAGGAACAGGGACTCGTCGGGCCTTGGGGTTCTGGCCAAAGCAGGGGCAGCGAGGGCATCGGAGCAAATCACGTGGTCATGGAAGGAAAAGCCGGGGAACAACATAGCAACCTGACTCCCAGAGGATAGAAACACATGCTCTGAAAGTCTGAGGACAGGTTCCTGGGAGCGGCTGACAGGCACACCCCGGGACAGAGCTGCTGCCACGTTCCTGCCAACGGCCAGGAGACCTAGACCAAGGCATGGGTGCTCCACACACGCTGTGCAGAAAGTGCCGACTGCACAGTCAAAGCCGACGACCTACTCCAGGTGGAAGGGACTTGAGACAGGGGACCAGGGGATGCTTTGCGGCCGCTGTGAAGGGAGGCCAGTGGTGGGAACGCATCCGTGTGGGTGCCCTGACACTGATGGCTGTGTGTGGTTGTGCTGGAGAAGGTCCCTGTTTGTAGGAAACACGCAGAAGATATCAGGTTGGCACTGTCTCAAAGGGGCTGTACCTATAACTGCCTTGTAAGTTTGAGATTGCTTAAAATAAGATTAAAAAATGATCCAATGACCCAGGCAGTGTCAGGTTCTGCGTGCCATGTCCGCCTTTCCTACAGAGACAATGGCCCGGGCAGTGCATCTCCGGTTCTATGTGCCATGTCCGCCTTTCCTACAGAGACAATGGCCCGGGCAGTGCATCTCCGGTTCTATGTGCCATGTCCGCCTTTCCTACAGAGACAATGGCCCAGGCAGTGCATCTCCGGTTCTATGTGCCGCGGCCGCCTTTCCTACAGAGACAATGGCCCGGGCAGTGCATCTCTGGTTCTATGTGCCATGTCTGCCTTTCCTACAGAGACAATGGCCCAGGCAGTGCGTCTCCGGTTCTATGTGCCATGTCTGCCTTTCCTACAGAGACAATGGCCCGGGCAGTGCATCTCTGGTTCTATGTGCCGCGGCCGCCTTTCCTACAGTGCCAATGGCCCGGGCAGTGCATCTCCGGTTCTATGTGCCATGTCTGCCTTTCCTACAGAGACAATGGCCCGGGCAGTGCGTCTCCAGTTCTATGTGCCGCGGCCGCCTTTCCTACAGAGACAATGGCCCGGGCAGTGCATCTCCGGTTCTATGTGCCATGTCTGCCTTTCCTACAGAGACAATGGCCCGGGCAGTGCATCTCCGGTTCTATGTGCCATGTCTGCCTTTCCTACAGTGCCAATGGCCCGGGCAGTGCATCTCTGGTTCTGTCTGCCGCGGCCGCCTTTCCTACAGAGACAATGGCGGCTCCTCTTACCTTTCCATGCATCAGCAGGCGGATGGTGAGGGTCACATTCAGGCCACCTTCTGAGACCTTGGACTCCATCCTTCTGCCAAATTGTGGCTGAGGGTGGTGGCTTAAGGTGCTGAGGGTGCTGTGAGGAAGGACAGATGGGGCCCAGAAGGCGTCACCTGGAGAGAGAAGGCACAGCTGCTGCTAGAGAAGAGTCTCACGGACCACGCACATCCAGGGGTGTCCTGGGCCGCTCCCACTCCGGCCTCCCGGGTGGCAGGAGAATGGGGTTGCCCACCCACCATGTGCTGACCAGGCCTCGCCTGCTGGGCACAGGGTGCACGGGAGTTCAGGGGAGGGCCTTGGGAGAGGTCTCCAGGGAGGCCCCACGGCTGCCTCCCTCCTGACGCTGGGCAGGCCACCGCAGCCCCTGGCCGAGGTCTGCATCTGCCCAGGGTCACGGAAGCACCTCTCTCAGCAGCCGGAGACTGGCAGGAGCTACCCCTGTGAGGCCCAGGGGACTTGCAGCTCACAGGCCCAGCGCCCTGGGGCTTTGCCCCCTGCTTCTGCTGTGGCCTCAACACACAGTCACGGGGTGCCAGAGTCCCCTGACCAGGGTGTGGGAGCCGGCCCTTCACGTCCCAAGCCTGCCATCCTCATCCCCTCATGCTCTCATATGACTTAGTCTCCATCAACCAAGCTGCCAAACGGCTGGTGTCCTTGGCAGTTCTCGGCAAGTGCCTTCCAAGCACACAGTGCTGTCTGCAGTCATCGTGTCACTACTGTGTGCCATCATTCAGTGAGTTGACGGAGCCCACTGGGCAAAATTAAGGCCTCATTTTATGACTGACCAGCAAAGAATGATGGTAGTGGAAGTGAGGGACTCGTGCAACAGTCAGGGTGACTTTGTGTGGCACGGTGGGGACCCTGCTCCGAGGTACTGGGCTCTGCAGAGTCAGCCTCATCCCGAGTCCTTCCCTGAAGGGCAACACCTCACCGAGGGGGCTGGCTCGTAAAACCCACCAGGAACAGAAACCTGTGAAGCTGCACCCCCCACCATAATCGAGCTGCCTGGACACTGCCCTTTGATTCAACCGGTTCACACAGAAGAGGCGGCTATGGGTTAAAAGTCAGGGCAGAGGGCTTTTTTCTCAATAAAATAGTTCTGTTAAAAGAATATGCTAAAAGAAAAACACAAAGATAACACAGACGTAAAGCCCGTTCCAACTGCCTTTGTGGTGTGTAAGGAGGATCTACAAAGAGCAGCCACAGGTGTCAGGGGGTGGACGGGAGCCACAGCCAGGGATGCACCTCTGCACTGACAAAGTGACACGCTGTCTACACCCGCGCTTACGCTGTCTACACCTGTGCTTAAAAACACATGTATAGGTCACTTCATCAACACACTCAGACTATCACAAAATTATTGTAATTTTATTACAAATTGTTATCTGTAATAGTATTTGTATTAATTTGTAATTTTATTACATTATTATTTGTAATAAAATGACACTTTGAAGGACAAGGATTTTCACGTTGCATTTAAGGAGGACTTCACGTAGCACAAAGGGCTCCGAAGATCACCCTTGCATAAGAATGCTCTCGCTGCACTGTGCAGCAGGACAGCCACATGTGCCTTTTTCAGTTTAAAACTAAACATCCACAAGCACATTTAAAGTGCCAAACAGCCTCGTGTGGGCGGCGGCAGCTACTGGGGGAAAAGCACAGAGAGAGGCCATTTCTGGCAGCGCGGACAGCTCTGCTGGACAGCACAGCTCACACCATTGCTTCAGTGACTCATTCTAAGTAGTGCATTCGTGTAGACAGATCTCAGAAAGGAGAGCAGAGTATCAGTTCAAATGCATGGCGTGGCCCCTGAGAAGCACCTCTGTGTGCACATGGGCACCCTGAGATAAGCCTGGCTGTACCCTTTCACCTGTGGGTGCCGACGGACCCGCACACATGGACTGCATCTCGGTGTGGCTGGTCTGGAGCTCTGTGCCTCCCTTTTAATTAAAAACTCTCCTCCCCATCAGAGGGACAGCAGGGCCCTGCAGCCATCTGTTATGTCAAGGTTTCCAGCCCAGGGAAGGGAAAGTGGGTCAGCTCCTGCCAGGGGTGCTTGGGGCTCCAGGCTGTCAGCCTCTATCAGTCACACAGGCCAGCGAGCTGCAGCCTGTGCCTCTCTTCATTGCAAGGGCAGCATGAGTGAGAGGCCATCCTGTGCCGTGCGGGTCACCTGGGACTCAGTGCCCAGAGCCCCAGAGGACCTACCCTGCTCCAGTCAGCAGCTCCCAGAGCTGCAGACCACTCGGAAGGCCAGGGTGGACGAGGCATCAACCACTCTCTGGCTCTCCCTAGGCACCTACCCGTCCATGCCGTCTGCAAAGTGCCCTGGCCTTGCTGCCACCTCTGCGGCTGCTGCTGTCCTTCCCAGCTAACACTGGCCATCTGCCCAGTGTCCATGGGGCAGCTCAGTGGCTACCAGGAAATGAAGGGCTGAAGTAGAGCCTGCAGCAGCCCATGCTCGGACCACTGGCATCCAAGGCCCCATGGGACTGGCCGTTTCTCAGAATGGAGCCCGTTCTGAGGCTTGCCCGCCCCTCCCCACACTGTGTTCCAGAAACAGGCAGAGCTCTGGTCCATCCAGGTCCCTCCCTCTGTCCCGTCCAGTGCTGGAGATTTAGCACATTTTAGCCCATGCAATGGGACAGGGAGAAGGGACAGGCACAGTCATCCGTGAGGGCCTGGGTCCCCACCCACCTCATCCCCACCCCCCGTCTGCACCCGGGGCCCTCACCTGCCTCCCCACTGTCTGCACTTGCCCAGGGGGTCTGTGGACCACCATCTGCAGATGTGCCTCAGGCCAGAACACACTCTGCACCCCAGCTCCCAGGGGATGCAGCCTACAGCTGTGGCCACGGGGATTTCAGACACCCACATCTGACATATGTGACCAGCACGACTCCTGACCCACCCCATCCCATGCATTAACAAGCCCAGCAGCCCCACCCACCATGTGAGGCACAATCTGAGCTTTTCTGCATCCTCTTCCACCCCCACTGCCCCCAGCTCCTGCCCCACCCTCCAGCCCCTGCTGTGACAGGTGCCAGGGATGCCTCCAACCAGCAACACAGAGCCCCCTCCCTCCTCCCCACTCCCTCCCTGCTCAAGACAACTCTCCACATCCCATTCTCTCAGAGTTTAGTCTAAGGCCTCATCCATCACCCCACAACTGCCATAGGCCCTGAGGGTAAAAGCCCCCGGCACTTCTCCTCCCTAGAGACTCCCCTCTCTGCCCGGGCCTAGAACACCCTCCTTCCTGCACTCAGTCCTCGCTCCATCATGGTCCCTCCTCATGGGGCTTCCCTGTTATTATCGGCTCCCCTCTCCAGGACTCCCTCCCCTCTCCAGCACTCCCTCCCCTCCCCAGGACTCCCTCCCCTCTCCAGAGTTCCCTGCGCTGATTTCCAGCTCACACAGTGGCCCTGACGCACAGCCATGGAAGTAGAGAGGGTCCTGGCACCCACAGTGGAGACGGTCACTAAGATGGGGAGACCCAGGTGGATGGAGTGAAGGTGCCCTGAGGACACACAGGTTGAAGGGAGCTGAGCTTGGGGCCTGGGGGTGGGGACAGTCCATGCATAGACCTGGGGTGCAGATCTCCTCACGGAGGACACAGGGCCAGTGCTGGGAGCCCAATTTAGCCACAGCCTTGGGGTCAGCCCTGGCAGTGCCAGCCTCAGCTGCAGAGACTCATCCAAGGCCCTGTGGGTTGGCTGGACCTGCCGCACAGACCATGCCTGCTTCCCCTCCTCCCAGGTGTGAACATGAACACGGTCTGGTACATGAAGCCCCGCGAGAGACGGGACTGCGCCCTCCACGCCCCGTGAGAGACGGGACCGCCCCCCCCCCCACGCCCCGTCAGAGACGGGACTGCGCCCCTCACGTGCACTTGCAGCTCCCCTTTCTCAGGCCAGGGACTAATGCACTCTGTTTCCTTGTTCTGCACGATGACTGGAGGGAATTAACCAATGCCAGGGGCAGAAACCTCCTGCCTTCTTAGTTCATGACCCTTGTAGAGGAACTTCCCCTTTGTCCTGATAAGCAAGGACCAGAAGACAGGAAACGGTGACTGCCGCACCCTCTGACAGGTTAAATGCACCCTTCCCTGAAGCAGGCACTGCCCGTCGTCCATCAAACGCTGTGACAGCGCCCACCTCGTAGGAAGGACGCCGCGGTCCTGCTAAAAGCCTCCGCCTCTGCCTGCCCGAGGGCACCCTTCCCCTCCCTACTCCCGAGGGTGGACTCCATTTCTCTGGAGCTGGTGTTTCTGGGTGGGCCAGCCTCCAGCTGCCTTTGAATAAACCCCCCTTACATTAGATTCTGACCCTGTGGTGATTTTAGGCCGGTGGTGCTCTGTGGAAGGCAGGCTGTGTGGACGTCCTGACTCAGGGGCTGCTCCCACTGGGTGACAGGCACAGGGCAATTGAGACAGCCCAGGAGGCTGAGGTCAAAGGGGCGCAGAGGCCCCGGGGCTGTGCAGGAGAAGGGGCCGGGCCAGGGGAGGAGGCGCTCAGAGAGAGCTCTGATGGCCCCGTGCAGTGGCACAGACCGACTCACCGTTTAACCTTGCGTGTGTAATGTGGTGTCATGGCCTTTTAAAGGTATCATTGATGGTTAATAGGCTGCACATACTTCAAGTCTACAGTGTGACAATCTTGCCCGTGTATACCCCTGGGGTGTCCCACAGTGGCTCACAGGAACCTGCAGTCCTTGGTCCCCTGTGGTCCGTGCTCCCACTCCACCCGCCACTGCCCGCCGACAGGTGCCCACTTGCGGTCACTATAGACTCCTGGACTTTCAGAAGTCGACACAAAGGGAATCATGTCGTAAGTATTCTTTTGTGTCTGGCTTCTCTTAGTATTTATAGAAGATGTATCCACGCTGCTGAGCATATAAACAGTTCTTTTCTGTTTAGAATTCCACCGTGGGAAAAAACCACCACTGGCTCTTCCACTCAACCAGTGAAGAACATTCGAGCTGTATGCAAGGCGGGATACACGAGTAAAGCTGCTTTAGACATTTGTGCACAGTTCTTCTCATGGAAGCACTTCCATTTCCTGCAGGTACCACCTAGGAGCACAACGGTTGGATCCTGCGGAAGCAGCACGTGGAACTTCCTAAGAAACTGTTCAAGACTGCGGCACGGCGGTTCCACTATCTACATTCCCCTCAGCAGTGCACAGAGTTCCAGGTTCTATTATCTACATTCCCTTCAGCAGTAAACAAAGTTCCAGGTTCTATTATCTACATTCCCCTCAGCAATGCAGAGTTCCTGGTTCTATTATCTACATTCCCCTCAGCAATGCACAGAGTTCCAGGTTCTATTATCTCCATTCCCCTCAGCAGTGCAGAGTTCCAGGTTCTATTATCTACATTCCCCTCAGGAGTGCACAGAGTTCCAGGTTCTATTATCTACATTCCCCTCAGCAGTGCACAGAGTTCCAAGTTCTATTATCTACATTCCCCGCAGCAGTGCAGAGTTCCAGGTTCTATTATCTACATTCCTCTCAGCAGCACACAGAGTTCCAGGTTCTATTATCTACATTCCCATCAGTAATGCACAGAGTTCCAGGTTCTATTATCTACCTTCCCCTCAGCAGTGCACAGAGTTCCAGGTTCTATTATCTATATTCCCCTCAGCAATGCAGAGTTCTAGGTTCTATTATCTACATTCCCCTCAGCAGTGCACAGAGTTCCAGGTTCTATTATCTATATTCCCCTCAGCAGTGCACAGAGTTCCAGGTTCTATTATCTACATTCCCCTCAGCAATGCGGAGTTCCAGGTTCTGTTATCTACATTCCCCTCAGCAGTGCAGAGTTCCAGGTTCTATTATCTACATTCCCCTCAGCTGTGCAGAGTTCCAGGTTCTATTATCCACATTCCCCTGAGCAGTGCACAGAGTTCCAGGTTCTATTATCTACATTCCCCTCAGCAGCGCAGGGTTTCAGGTTGTATTATCCACATCCCCCTAAGTGCACCGAGTTCCAGGTTCTGTTATCCACATTTCCCTCAGCTGCGCACAGAGCTGCAGCTCCTCCACGGCCCCGCCAACAGCTGGTCTGTTCAGCCTTTTCTGTGCTGCCCAGCGGGCGTGCAGTGTTGTCTAGTTGCAGGGTGTGGCCAGGCAGAACCCCTCCCCATGCTCTCATGCTGGCCTCATGACCTGTCTGCTCCATTCTCTCCCGCAGCAGAGTAGCTGCTGGAAACTGCCCCTTAGACAGCTGCGAGGCCACGTCTCCCACCCTGGCAGTGACAGACGCAGTCCCAGCCCCTGGCATGGGCCAAGTACTGAGGTCAGGGACACAGCACTCCTTACTGAGGGCTACTGGAGGAATGGGGTCATTGGCTGGAGCCACTGTCAGCTCCAAGACAGAGCAGAAACAGGCCTCCGTCTCGGAGCTACGCTGACTTCTAAAAGCTCCCTTTGGTTTTCATAAGTATCTTTTCCTTAAAGTCACACTGGAGAGAATCTGGGGGGATCAGAAGCTGCAGGTGAAATCTCCATGTACTTGAAAGCTGTTCCCTGGATGCCAGTGCCACAGGCAGATGGACAAGCACGTGAGGGCTGAGCAGCACTCACGGCAACAAACATCTGTAGCCACCGCAATGTACTGCCACAAGAGCCATGGCAGGGAGACTCAGGAATTGTTCAAAGGTCCCCAAGCTAGGGAAAGACGCAGCCAGGCCTGAAGCTCCCCGCCTCTAACTCCACAGCATCCTTTCCCAAGGGCGGGCTGCAGAAGAAGGGAGGAGGAGGCTGGCCGTGGCCCTGGCCATGAGGAGGGGAGGAAGGGGTGCCAGGCAACCACACTGCCTGCACCGTTGCTGTCTGCCCAAGGTGGAGACCAGGTTTCCTGCTCTGAGCTGCATCTGCCAGGAAGCACAGGTGCTGTCCCTGCATTCAGAGCTGGGCTGGGTCTTCACAATGGAGGCATCAGGGGAACAGTAGAGAAGACGGTCCTGACAGCTTCTAAGCAGGCCCCAGGCTTGATGTGATTTAACGACTTTTGCAGTCGGAGGAAGGCAAATCAGAGGCTGCTGGCCCGCATGCAGCTGCTGACGGCAGCTCGGGGCACTTACATTTAACAGCTCCTCTCTCCACTCCACCGTCTCTGAAGCCCCTGTGAGCGCTCCTGCCTGAACCCCCACTCCCACACACATCGCTCTTTGTCTCCACAGACGAAACAGACCCAGGATGAGGGCATCAACACAGCTCCAGTCATGCAACAGTGCACGGGCCAGAACGAAAGATTCCTTTCTTTACTTACTTGCTTATGGCAAAGTGGTATTGAGCCCATAAAGGTGTATTTAGGAAGCTAACATACAAGGGCTATTTAATGTGCAAACTTTCTAATAATTCCATGTATAGATACTGTCCACGTGTGTTTAATGTGCAAACCTTACAATCATTCCATGTAGATACTGTCCATGTGTGATTTAATGTGCAAACTTTATAATCGTTCCATGTATAGATACTGTCCACGTGTGTTTAAGGTGGAAACCTTACAATCATTCCATGTAGATACTGTCCACGTGTGATTTGATGTGCAAACTTTATAATCATTCCATGTATAGATACTGTCCACGTGTGGAACATGTTTATTCATTTCAGCTTCACTCAAAACCCACCAGGGATTTAAGAATTCAGCTCCAATTGCGGGTCTAAAAGCACTGAAGCTGCACACAGGAGGCTGGCGGGAGGAAAGCTGCCTGTGGTATCACGTGCTGTGTCGCTGTGGAGCAGGGCCCTGCCCCGGAGCAGGCATCTGCCGTGGGGAAGGTGCTGTGTGCGGTGGCGTGTGGGTGGCCCCGGCTGGGAGACCCAGGTGAGTGAGGGGCCAGTTCACCCTGCTGTGGCGTGGGAGGTGGGACTACAGGAGCAGGGTGAGCTGCTCTAGCCCCGGTTCCCACCCGCGGGCACCCATAAATGCAAGGAGCAGACTGAAATCCACTCTGGAGGTAACGCCAGTTATTAATTAATAACTTGATTATTTTAACAAATATTTCCTAGGCAGTCACTAAGCTTTAGGCTCTGTGCTATCCTTGAAGAAAAACAGGTAAGCAAGGTGCCTTCCCAAGAAAGGAGATGTCATTATTACAGTAACAGAAACAGGTGACACTCAAGAGCTGCAGGAGCAGGAGGAGGGCCCGGCTCAGAGCAGGGCTCAGCTAGGGCAGACCCCCCTGCCCTGTGCGGCCTCCCTGGGATTCGTACACGGCCAGGACAGGTACCCAGCAGAGTGTGAGGACCCCAGTGCTCCTGAGGAGAGACCCTGAGAACCGTTAGCCCCCTCCGGAAATGCCCATGGGTCAGCAGCGATGCAGGGCCATCCCCGGAGGACAGAGCTGCAAGCACAGCTGCAAGGGCAGGTCAGGGAAAGGCGGCCCAACCTTCCAGAGTCTGGCTCGTCTCTCTTCGCCGTGGGCTGGTACTAGACATCTATTGATAAGAGCAGCTGTGACAACAGTGAGGTCGTCACGAAGCCAGGGCTCTCCGGGAAGCTTAGGGAGTGCGTAGTAGTTGCAGCCTCTATAAAGGGCGACCTGGCAGGATGCACCAATAGCCTAAAATGCTTGCCAACTTTAAACTAGAAATTACGTTTGCAGAAATCTCTTCTCCCACAAAAGGCACAGACATTCAAAAAGTAGGTGCCCGGAATGGCGACGCTGTTTGCCTGGGTGCCCAGTGGAAACCAACACCAACGTGTGCACAGCTGGGGAACGAGGCCACTGGTGACAGTGTCCCCCATGCCACAGAGCTCCTGTCTGCTTCTGGCTGGGCCTGTCCTCAGCAGCTGGTGTCTGCTGATGCCTTTACTTGTCCCTCCAACTGAATGAGGTGTGGAGCCACCATCACCCTGTCTTACAGATGGAAGGACTGATGCTGGAGAGGCTGGAGGGCCTGCTCTGGTGACGCAGCTGAGCAGGGCAAAGCTGGCGCAGCCCCAGCAGCTCCGGCATCTGTGCTCTCAGATGCCACATGCACAAAAGGAGTGGCAAGGCTGCTGCTTCTGGGAAATGGAGCACACAGTGCTTCCCAATCCTTCCTGCTAAAAACAACAAAACAGCCTGGATATTGTATCCACAACAAACACAAGAAGACTGAAATGCGTAGGAAAGGCAGACTAGCCAGGGACCAGGGCACACAGGGAACAGCGTGGTGGTGAACCCCTGGGCTTTCTCTATGTCTCTCAGACTTGGAAGTGGAAAAGCTGGCAAGCCGGAAATGCCAACAGGCACAGACAAGAAAAGGGCCTCAACAAAAGTCTGCTTTCTGCAGCCGAAGGGTCAGTGAAGGGACAGCACAGTGAGGCTGGAAATGTTGAGCAGCAGCTCCTTTATTCCACCAGGCACCACGGAGGACACGGTGCCCCTCCCCACCCACGCAGCAAAGGCCGCGTACAGAGCCTAGACCTCCGCCCTCACCAGGCTGTCAAGAGGCTCCCGAACCCCATGCGGGGGTGGCTTCAGAGCAGGCTGAGCAGGGACAGAGGCTCTCATCTCCACAGGTGGTGAGTCCTTGCCCCCTGGTGTCAGTGGAGGCAATGCGGGGTCAGTAATGAGGGAGCCCCCTCCTCTGAGCAGGGAGGTTTCTGCACAGGCCTCCAGGGCCCCAGAGCTCCCACCCTTGCCCAGCGGCAATGAGGCCTCCTCCACACCTCACCACATCCTCTGCCCTTGGTACCCGGGGCAATGAGGCCTCCTCCACACCTCACCACGTCCTCTGCCCTTGGTACCAGCGGCAATGAGGCCTCCTCCACACCTCACCACATCCTCTGCCCTTGGTACCAGAGGCAATGAGGCCTCCTCCACACCTTACCACGTCCTCTGCCCTTGGCACCCGCGGCAATGAGGCCTCCTCCACACCTCACCACATCCTCTGCCCTTGGCACCCGCAGCAATGAGGCCTCCACACCTCACCACATCCTCTGCCCTTGGCACCCGCGGCAATGAGGCCTCCACACCTCACCACGTCCTCTGTCCTTGGCACCAGCGGCAATGAGGCCTCCTCCACACCTCACCACATCCTCTGCCCTTGGCACCCGCGGCAATGAGGCCTCCTCCACACCTCACCACATCCTCTGCCCTTGGCACCCGCAGCAATGAGGCCTCCACACCTCACCACGTCCTCTGCCCTTGGCACCCGCGGCAACGAGGCCTCCTCCACACCTCACCATGTCCTCTGTCCTTGGTACCAGCGGCAATGAGGCCTCCTCCACACCTCACCACGTCCTCTGCCCTTGGTACCAGCAGAGGCCGAGTGGAAAGCCTGGACTTTCACTTCTTGTTTCCCCTGCTGGAGAAGTATCAGAGGCAGCCAGCTAAACAGAAGGTTTATATAACCAGAGTCTCATAACGTAATATCCAGAAGGTCCAGATTTCAAAAAGAAAATCACCTGTTATACAAAGAACCCAAAAGATCTCAAACTGAATGAAAGACAGTGTCAGCCCCAGGATGACAGAGCTGTCGGAATCCTCTGACAAAGAAGTGAAAGCAGCCTTCATAAAAATGCTTCAGCAAACAAGCAGGAACACTCTTTAAACAAATGAGAAAACAGAATAGAATACCTCCACAGAGAAGCCAGTTCCCACCAAGCTAATGGGAGATGCAGGCAACTGAAAGGGAACGACAGAACTAGAAAGAACCATAACAGAGTGAAAGAGTCAGGGGAGAGAAGCAGGGAGCTGTGAGAAAAAACAACAGAAAGTACCCCGTCCCAACAAGAGGGAGAACACAGACCGAAGACACACAGATGGGGCCCCTGAGACCTGTGGGACATGGGGAGGACCTAACATTCATGTCCTTAGGGTACCAGAAAAAGAGAACAAAGGGGATGGGGATAAAGGCTCTTGAAAAAATAATGGCTAAAACTTCCCAAATTTGGCAAAAAGTAAAAACCTACATATTTGAGAAGCTGAGTAAACCCCAAACAGGATAAATCCAAGGAAATCCACACAAACACACATTGTAGTCAAGAGTCTAAAAACCAAAGGCAAAGAATAATTCTTGCAAGCAGCAAGAGGGACATGACCCCATGCTACAGGAGGGAGACAATGGATGGCGTGGATTTCAGGCGAGAAGCACGGAGGCCAGGAGGACGTGGCCCCGAACTGCTCAGTGCTGAAAAGGACAGAAGTGCCAACTGGAATGATATATCCAGTGAAAATAATCAGGAATAAAGACATTATGGGATGAAGGAAAATGAAGAGAAGTTGCTGCCAGCGTGCCTACGCTGGGAGAAGGCCTAAGTCCTCTAAACAGAAATGAAATAATGATGAAATCTTGGAATATCAGGAAGGAAGAAAGAACATAGTAGGCAAACATGTGAGTGCATAGAAAGGCTTCACTCTCGAGTCCTCTAAACTATGATTGATGACTGATGCAAAAATTACAGCATTGTCTGATATGTACAGAATGCTTAGGAAATATTTAAAGCAACTACATCATAAATGAGGGACAGTAAAAAAATTATAAAGGAAGTTACAGTTTCTTCCCTCCAACTGGTGAAATGTTGACAGCAGTAGAATTGGTAACACATATATGCCTGGGCAACATGGCAAAACCCTGTCTCTACAAAAAAATTTAAAAAATTAGCTGGGTGTGGTGGTGCCTGTCTGTGGTCCCAGCTACTGGGGAGGCTGAGGTGGGAGGACGGCTGGAGCCTGGTTAGTCGAGGCTGCAGTGAGCCATGATCGTGTCACTGCACTCCAGCCTGGGCAACAGAGCAAGATCCTGTCTCAAACATTATACATGCACACACACGTGACATATATGTATATTTAGATGTGCATGCATGTTGCATATGTGTATGTTATATATGTGTATGTATACATGTGTATATACATGTGCTACATATATATATTTGTGTGTGTATATATATGCTATATACTTAGTATTCAGTATGTGTGTATATATATGATATACTACCTACAGCAAGCACTAAAAAAGAAAGCCATACAGATATATACTCTAAAATGCTACTGATAAAATAAAATTCCAAAAAAATGTACACTGACTCACAGGAAGAAAGAAAAAACTAAAACCAGAGAAACAAAAAACAAAGCCAACAAAATTAAAAATGAGGCTGGGTGCGATGGCTCACGCCTGTAATCCCAGCACTTTGGGCGGTCAAGGTGGGAGGATCACTTGAGCCCAGGAGTTCAAGGCCAGCCTGGGCAACACAGGAATACCTAGTCTCTACAAAATATAAAAATAAATTGGCTGGGCATGGTGGTGCATGCCTGTGGTCCCAGCTGCTTGAGAGGCTGGGGTGGGGGGATCACTTCAGCCCAGAAGAGGCTGCAGTGAGCCATGATCACACTACTGCACTCCAGCCTGGATGACAGAGTAGGGCCCTATCTCAAAATAAATAAATACAAAAGATAAATAAAAGGTGAAATGGCAGATTTAAGCCCTAACATCTCAATACCGTAATAACTTTAAGTATAAATGGTCCAAATACACCAATTGAAGCACAGATGGGCAGAGTGGATTTAAAAATATGACCCCATCATATGCTGTCTACAGAAAACTCACTTCAAATAGAACAATATAAGCAAACTGAAGATAAACTAATGGGAAAAGGCGTATCGTGCAACCATTAATCAAAAGAAAGCAGGAATGGCTATATTAATATCGGAAAAAATAGACGTCAGAGCAATGAAAATGATCAGAGACAGAGAAGGACATTACATAATGATAAAAGAGTCTAAATAAGCAATAGCAATCCTAAATGTGTATGAATCAAATAACAGAGCTGTAAAATATGTGAAGCAGAAACTAATAGTAGTGAAAAGAAAAATATAAAAATCCACAACGACAGCTGAAGACTTTATTACTGTCAACAACTGAAAGAACCACTGGGCAGAGAATTAGCAAAGGATTTGGAAGGACTCAACACCATCAACCAACGGGGCCTAACGAACACTTCCGGAACACTCTGTCCAGCATCAGCAGAATCCACACTCTCTTCCTGCATGTACAGAATCTATACCAGGATAGACCATACCCTTGGCCATAAAAGAAACCTCAGCAAATTTAACAGAATTGAAACCGTAGTGTATGTTCTCTGACCACAGCTGACTCAAACCAGAATCAATCATGGAAAGATAACAAGAAAAGTTCCAAGCACTTGGAAATGAAACACATATATGAACAATCCAAGGGTCAAAGAGGGAATCTCAAGGAACATCAAAAAACACATTGACCTGAATGAAAATAAAAACACAGCATATCAAAAATCGCAGGACACAACTACAGCAGTGCTGAGAGGGAAACCTGTGGCACGAAACACACACATTTGAAGAGAGAAAAGCTTCCAATCAATAATCTAAGCACTCATTTTAAGAATCTAATAAAAGAAGAACAAAATAAATCCAAGTAAGCAGAGGAATGAAATACTAAAGACCAGAACTTGGCGCTGGTGTAAGAACGACATGCAGGCCGGTGGAGGAGAGCGGAGAGCCTGGCAGGAAACCCCGCAGCTGCAGCCAATCCATCTACAATAAAGACACCAGGAACACACACGGGGAAGGACAGTTTCTTCAATAAACGGTGTTGGGGAAACTGGATGTCCCTGTGCAGAAGAATGAAATTAGACCCTCATCTCACACCATCTATAAAAATCAACTCAAAATGGGTTAAAGACTTAAATGTAAGATCTGCAACTGCAAAACCACTAAGAAAAAACACAGGGAAAAATTCCACGACACTGGTTTAGTTAATGATTTTTTTTTAAATATGGCCCTCAAAGTACAGGCAACAAAAGCAGAAAGTAGAGAAATGGGATTATATCAAACTGAAAAGCTTCTGCACAGCAAACAACAGAGTGAAGAGACAACCTAGGGAACTGGAAAAAAAACTGCAAACCATACAACATCTGATAAGGAGTTAATACTCAAAATGTGTAAGGAACTCAAACAACTCAATAGCAAGAAAACAAATACCAGATTTTAAAAAAATGGCAAAGAAACGGAATGGAAGCTTCTCAGAAGGAGACATACAAATGGCTAACAGGTATATGAAAAAGTGCACAACATCACTAATCACCAGAAAAATGCAAATTCAAACCACAATGGGATATCGGCTCATACCTGTTAGAATGGCTATTATCAAAAAGACAAAAGCTAAGTGTTGGTGAGGAGGTGGACAAAAGGGAACCCTTGTACAGTGCTGATGGGAAACTTAGTACAGTCATTATGGAGAACGGTACGGAAGTTCCTCAAAAAACTAGAAATAGAACCACCACAGGATCCAGCAGTCTCACTTCAGGGCATATACCCAAAGTCACTATAGTGAGGAGACACATGCAGGCCCGTGTTGATTGTGGCACAACTCACAACAGCCTAGATATGGTGGAATCAGCCTAAGTGTTCATAGAGAGACGAACGGATAAAGAAAATGTCACACACAGACATACACACAGAAAGAAGCCATGTCATCTGTGTCACTGCGGATGAACCTGGAGGACATTATAACAAGTAAAATGAACTGGGCACAGAAAGACAAATACTGCATGATCTCACATGTGGAATCTAAAAAAGTGCATCTCACAGAAGCAGAGGGTGGGAGGTGGCTGTCGGGGACTGCGGGGGGTTGGGGGAAATGGGAGCTGTTGGTCACTGGCACAAGTTCAGTTAGACGGGAGTCAAACAGGCTGGGGAGCTGCTGTGTGGCACAGTGACTATGGGTAAGAACAATGTATACTTGAAAATTGCTGAGAGTGATTTTAAATTCTTTATAGAGATGGGGTCTCTCTATGTTGCCTAGGCTGTTGCCTGAGGTAGGCAGGTCACTGGAGTCTAGGAGTTCAAGACCAGCCTGGGCAAAATAGACCCCATCTCTACAAAATGTTGAAAAAATTAGTTGGGTGTGGTGGAGTGCACCTGTGGTCTCAACTCCTGGGAGACAGGTGGGAGGATCACTCGAACCTCACCACAAACAAAGGTATGTGAGGTGATGGATATGTTAATTAGCTTGATTTAATAATTTCACACACAAAAAACATGAACACATAGAATTCAGCAATATACCACAAGAATTACATGCTATAACCATTCTTCCTGTGATGCAAGGCTGGCTCAGAGTTGGAAAATCTGTCTGTGTAATCTACCTTATTAACAGACTAAAGAAAGCACACAATCATATCAATGCATGCAGAAAAGCCTGTCACAAAACTCCATACCAACTCACGATAAAAATTAAAATGCTCAGAAAAAAACAGGAATAGAGGGGAACTCGCTCAGCTTGATGAAGGCCAGCCAGGAAAGCAGCCACAGCTGTGGCCCGCAGCTGGCCCAGGCATGTCCACTCAGGAGCACTTGGCTGGGCATGAGCTGCCTGACGCTGCCAGTGAGCTTCTAAGCTTGGACTCACCCCGTGCTGAAGCCCCTGGGTACCTTCCCACTGCTGTGCTGTTTAACCCCGGCCCTGAGCCTCCCGTCCAGAGCCCAGCACCTACCCCCTTGGTCTTGTTTGTCACTGCTCCCTGCCCTCCCGCTGGCTCCCTGGCTTCCGTGGCAGGGACAGGGTGAGTTCTCCCACCCACTTATCAGGACCTTCTTCTGGAGGGTATTGCCTACCAGGCTGTACCTACAACCCCGTCTCTCCTGGCCCTGCTGCAGTCACCTGGGGCCACCCTGGCACCGAGAGGGCAGAGGGCACACGTGTCTCCTCCGTTCACCACTGAATCCCCAGTTCCCAGCACCACTCTTGGCCCACAAGGGGGCGCAGTATGTATTTAAGGATTAGACAGATTCACACCATGAGCACTGAGCCCAGCTCAATTTCCACGGCCTCGTGGAACGTTCTGAAATTCAGCGATTTCTAAACTCAATACTCAGAAGCACCGTAATCCTATTTTCTCCCACACCACCCACTCCTGCGTTTTTCATTCAGACAGTCACTGAGGGTTTGCTGGGGGTCTGCTGTGGGGGTCCCTGTGGCCCACAGAGGCGGCACAGGGCTGGGTTTGGGCCATGGCAGAAGAAGTTGTGTGGGGTCAGGACCGCGGCGCCCCAGGCGCTCCCCTCCCCTCCGAGGCCCAGGGCCAGCAGGGTAGAGCTTTCCAGGAGGGCAACTGGGGAACCAGGCAACAGTCCTGCTTTCGAAGGCTGGCCGTGACTTGCAAATCCACCAGCTCCCAGAAGAGGCCAGAGGAAAACCACTCACGACAGGAACGTCTTGTCAATAAAAAGGATGCAGAGAAAAATGCCACGAAACCAGGATGGACTCTCACGCCACACAACAAACGCAGACAGCAGAGAACTGCCACCGTTTTGCAAGCTCTTGAAACCCATGATTGTTTCTGTCCTTCCTTTATTTGAACTACTCCAATGTGAAGAGGCTTAGTTCTGTTTTTAATTTCATTGGGTTTGGGTCTTGATTATTTACTCCCTTCTGCTTGTTTTGTTTTCTTTTTTTAAAGTTTCTTCAAGTGGAAGCTTACATTATTGTTTGAAGACCTTTCTTCTTTTCTAATGGATGCTGTCATGCTATAAATTTCTCTAGAGGCACTGATTTACTAGTATCCTATAGGTTTTTTTTCATTTTCTCTTACTTCAAAGTATTTTCTAATTTTTTTATACTTCCTCTTTGACTAGGGCATTATTTAGAGGTGTGTGTTTTGATTTTCAAGTATTTGGAAAATTTCCAGTTATCTCTGGTTATTGATTTATAGTTTAATTCTACTGTGGCCAGAAAATACATTTTATATGATTTAAATTATTTTAAATTTGTTAGGCTTTAGTTTTTTACATGGAATATGACCTGCCTTGGGGAACATCCCATGTGCACATAAAAACCACGTGTACTGTGGTGTCTGCATTGTCTGCAGGTCTCGGAAGCTCCATTCATTTCTCCCAGTCCTTTTTCTATCACTCGGCATGGATCATTTGTACTGAGCTGTCCTCGTGTTTGCTGACGCTGTGCCCTGTCACTTCCATTGTTATTGAGTCTACATCATGAATTTTTCATTCTGGTTATTAGATTTTTTAGTTCTAAAATTTCCATTTTATTCTTTAAATCTATTTCCTTGGCCAGGCGCAGTGGCTAACGCTTGTAAACCCGGTACTTTGGGAGGCTGAGGTAGGCAGATCGCTTGAGTGTAGGAGTTTAGGACCAGCCCGGGCAACACAGAGAGACCTCATCTCTACGAAAAATTTTAAAAATTAGCCAGGTGTGGTGGCTGCACCTGTGGTTGCAGCTGCTGGGAGGCTGAGATGGGAGGATCGCTTGAGCCTGGGAGATGGAGGCTGCAGTGAGCTGAGATTGCACCACTGCACTCCAGCCTGGGTGACAGAGTGAGACCCTGTCTCACTCAAACAAACAAACAAACAAAACCTTCGCTTTCCCTGCGTAGAGTTCCTATTTTTCCATTCATTTTGAGAGGGCTCACCCTTCCTCCTGGAGCACGGTGGCGCAGCTGCTCTGAAGATCTTGTGGATCCTCCACCAGGAAGGATCCCAGGTTGGTGTGTGTTGCTCATTTCCCAGCTGGAGAGGCTGAGGGTTCCTATTTCTTCCTATGCTGAGTACGGACGTCGAGTTGTCCTCTGGTCTGTTTGAATATTGTCGTAACACTCCAGTTATCACTTAAATCTTATGCAGAACCACGACATTTTTATTTTATCGGGCAGTGGTTCTAGTTAGTTCCAAAGCCTCTGTGGGCTGTGGCTCCAATGTCTGTTCTGTTCTGAGAGCTTCTGCACCGCTGTTTAGCTCTGTGCCACGTGTGTGCCACCCAGTGCCCGGCTGGGACCTGGGGGCCATCAACCCTGCAGTCCCCTTGTCAAAGCCTTTGCTGTACTGTCTGTGGTCAGACCCAGACGTAGAGAGGGCAGGCAGTGCCCAGGAATGCACACACAACTTCATGAAATCCCCTTTTCAAACTCGCCCCTCTCTGTGATCTCCAGGGCTTTCTGACCAGGGCCTGGCTTTTGCCACAGTGCCAGAAACTTACTGCACTTGCATCCTGTCTAAGGCCAAGAGGCAGAAGGGCAGAGACACGAAACAGCCCCGGGAGGACCCCCCCACCCCGGAGGGCAGGGATGGGAAATGGCCCTGGGAGGGCCCCTTCATTCTCTGAGACCACAGGTCCTCTGGTGGGAGAGAAAAGTTCTGCCCCTGTGCGTTGCCAGCCTGTCAGGCTGCTGTGCCCTCAAAGCCACTGCTGCCACAGGATCGCCTGGGGGTGAGGATGGGAGAGACTGGAAGGTGGAGCAAATGCCAACCAGCAGGAGCTCCCTCTCCATCCTCAGACAGAAATGCGGAGCTTCTCTGTGGCTGCACTTCTGGGTATGTGGCTGCCTGGAGTCCAGGCCATGTGGCAAGGGCAGTGAGGACACAGGAAGCTCCCTGCTGGGCTGGACTCCTTTCCAGCCTGCTCCCACTGCCGCCTCCCGGTCCCAAGGGAGCTGCTCCAGCACTCTGTGCAGAAGTCCCAGCTGTGCTCAGTGGGAGGGGCAGGGGGGTGTACCCCCACTCCATTTGACCAGAATCAAAGCCTCATTTAATTTTTTTTTTTTAAGACGGAGTTTCACTCCTGTTGCCCAGGTTGGAGTACAGCAGCTCACTGCAACCTCCACCTCCCAGGTTCAAGCAATTCCTCCGCCTCAGCCTCCTGAGTGGCTGGGACTACAGGCGTGCCACCATCACACCCGGCTAATTTTTTGTATTTTTAGTAGAGATGGGGTTTCATCACGTTGGCCAGGCGGGTCTCAAACTCCTGACCTCAGGTGATTTGGCTGCTTCGGCCTCCCAAAGTGTTGGGATTACAGGCGTGAGCCATTGCACCTGGCCATTTCATCTTTATATTGATTAAATTGGCAAAATCTGTTTAAAACTGGTACCACTATAAATTCTGATAAATTTGCCAGTTACTCTTTTTTTAAAAAAATATTCAAATCAACAGAATGCTAGTAAAATGAATACTGCCCTAGTAAGAAGTGATGTGTAATGAAACAGCGGCCACACAGGGCCACAGCCCCATGTTTTTCCATATATAAATCCAGGCTGTCCTAACACAGTAGGGCGAGCTCTTCCTCCGTTTTACACGAGGTGACACAGTGCGATGACCCTGAACTGTGACCAGCTGGCTCCAGGCCTAGGTTCCCGACCACCAGAGAGGTAATCCATCATCTATTTTCATGCCAAAAATAACAGTGAATGACATCCCGTCAGACCCGAAAGGAAGAGACCCACGTTTGAAAGTGTCATGTGAGGCCCAAGTTGTAAGGCTTGTTTGCTGGGGGATGGATGAATAGGTTTGGATATTAACATAGAGATGCCTTGGAGTGTAGAAGGGCGGTCACACAGCTGTGAGTGCGGCTGGCAGCAGGCGCCTTGAGCTCTCTCCTGTGTGCCACTGCTTGCCCCGAGAAGGCGGGAGAAGCCTTGCCAGCAAAGCGCCATCTGGGGTCCTCGCAGCCGCAGCGAGCGCTGTCGCAGCCAGCGGCTCTGGCCATACCCCCGTTAGCTGTGCTCTGTCCAGGGCTGCACTCACGGCCTCAGCTGTCTGGGGGATGTGACTGTGGGAGGGAACACAGTGCGGGGTGGGTGGCAGCAGCCCCTACTTGATTTATCCTGTTTAACAGCTCAGTGCCTGCATCAGGCTGCACGAGGCCAGGACGGCGGAAATGACAGGGCAGATTAGCTGCCACATTCTCCTTGAGAGCCTCACATGCACTTCATGTCCCTGAGGCTACCCAGGGCAGGGGAGGCTTCTGGAATTTCATGCTCCTGCCTGTCACAGGCGGCATTCGGAGGCCATCCAGGGCTTACACAGCCTGGCCTCGGCGAGCATTCTGAACAGCCTGCTCCCCTGCTACTCAGCGTCAAGGCAGACAAAGGTGCCAGTGGGGAACAGTGACCGCTCACCTTCCCCTGCTCCAGCGGCCCAGCCACACTGGTCTCATGTCTGGAAGATGCTGAATTTTCCTGACCATAGCCAGGCTCCCTCATGGTGCCAGTGTTCCTTAGTCCCACCTTTGGGAACCACGTAAGAGTGTGCCTCCTACAAATGTTCCAATTCTTTCAAATGCTCATTTCGGGATTCGTAATATCTCTGATGAGAGACAGGGTAGGCCACCCTGAGAGCTGAGTCAAGTCTGGGCTCTGACACTGTCCTGGCTGTGATGGATGCACGTGGACTCGCCTGCCTAAGGGCAGGTTCTGGCCCCTGACCGCTCCATCGGTGCCCTGGTGCTGCACACAACATCTCAGGCTCCACGGGCCCTCTAGTCTTAGTGGGAAGCTGAACGCAGCAGGGACATCCTACTGGCCCATGAAAAAGGGTCCAGCGGGAACATTCCTCACCCCACACCTTTCCTCAGTTCCCACACGGCACCGGGGATGCGGGGCCATGGGCACAGCCATTGTCTGCAAGTGGCTCACAGTCTGGTGGAGAAATTGGCTGTGGGCTGGAGCAGTGGGGGATCCAGACAGCCGAAAATCAACATCGGATCCCACCTCGCCCTCAAATGTGTGTCCTATATAGGTGAAAGATCCAGAAGTGAACAGTAGAAGTTTAACCCTCTTGGAAGGAAGCAAAGGTCAACCTCCCTGTAGCCTCAGGGTCAGTGGGCATGAGGAGGAGAGGCTGCGAATGAGCGGTACTTCCCAGCTCACTGGGAGGGCATCAGAGACAGTATCTGTCCTGCTCTCGCCCTGGACAGGGAGGGACGTCACCCTGGCCATTGCTGGTAGATGTCCCAAGACCCCTGGGGGAAGCTGGTGTGGGCAGGCTGAGCCAGGGGGAAGCAGAGGCACTGCAGCCTGCCAGAGTGGCCCCAACTGACTCTGCACTTTCCCAGGAGCCCAGTAGCAGACCTGAGTTTTTAATCGAATTTGAGTTTTCTGACGTTGTGTGACTTGACCCAATGCATCCCCATGGTGCAGGGGGTGAAAAGCAGCAGCAAGGCGAGTACTGGGCCTGCTGACCCCACAGTTTACTGGAAAAGATAATCCCAGGATGTGGCAACCTGGAACAGCTGCCAGCACATGTGCAGCAGAGAGTCAGCCGCAGCACGCAGCACGGAGGGGCCCCCAGCCCCAGTGAGTCAGCCGGAGCGCGCAGCACGGAGGGGCCCCCAGGCCCGGTGAGTCAGCTGGAGCGCGCCGCGTGGAAGGGCCCCCAGCCCCGGTGAGTCAGCCGGAGCGCGCAACATGGAGGGGCCCCCAGCCTGTCTGGCTGCCGCTGGACGCCCTGAGCCAGGTAGGAGCCTGGAAGGAAGGTGCCGCGTCAGGGGCGACCGCGCTGCTCGGGCTCAGTGACTGGCTTTGTGAGGAGGCTCTTTTGGGAGCTGGGCAGAGCTCCCTACTTGGACAGGGGGCTGGCCCAGGCACTCCTGCAGCACTCCTGCCTCCAGCCACTCTCGGTTTGGGACCTGCATGCTCTCTCGTGAGTCTAGGGCCACTCCAGAGCTGGTGACACAGCCAGAGGCCAGCAGCAAGGAGCAGCAGCACAGGGGACACGGGCAGCGAAAACCACAGGGACCGACACAGTGACGGGAAGGGATGCCTTCACAGGGTGAGGGCGCTCCACATCCCCACACCAGCCAGCAACGGAAAATCAAATCTTAAAAGAAGACAGCATTGGAGACCAGCCTGGCCAACATGGCAAAACCCTCTCTACTAAAAATACAAAAAAGTAGCCGGGCGTGGTGGCAAGTGCCTGTAATCCCAGCTACTCCGGGAGGCTGAAGCAGGAGAATCGTTTGAACCTGGGAGCCCGAGGTTGCAGTAAGCCGAGATCGCGCCACTGCACTCCAGCCCGGGACGACAGAGCAAGACTCTGTCTCAAAAAAAAAAAAAAAAAGAAAAGAAGAAGAAGATACCATGTATAAGGCCATCAGAAAGAAGGCAAAGAGTTGGGATAGACCCAACAAAAGATGTGTGAAACCTCTATGTAGAAATTATAAAGCATCATAAAGAGCAATTAAAGAAGATCCGAGAATTAGAAAACATATTTTTCATTGACTCGAACTCTCCATAATTTAAAATGTTAATTCTCCCAATTTTGATCTACAGATTAATTCCATAGACAAGCTGATTTTAAAATGTACAGGAAAAATTAATCAGTTCAAGAATATCCTGAGGAAAAAGGTCAAAGTGAGCCGATTTATTTTACTAGAGATCTAGACATGAAGCTGCAGCAATGTAGCTCATTTGACAGTGGCATAAGAATAGACAAGCGGGCCGGGCGCGGTGGCTCACGCCTGTGATCCCAGCACTTAGGGAGGCTGAGGCGGGTGGATCACTTGAGCCCAGCCTGGGCCGGGCGTGGTGGCTCACGCCTGTGATCCCAGCACTTAGGCAGGCTGAGGCGGGTGGATCACTTGAGCCCAGGCTGGGCAATATCGGGAGACCTTGTTTCTACAAAATATTTGAAGATTAGCCAGGCACGATGGCGCACGCTTGTAGTCCCAGCTGCCTGGGAGGTGGAGGGTATAGTGAGCTGAGGTTGCACCACTGCTTTGCAGCCTAGGTGACAGAGCGAGACCCTGTCTCAAAAAACAAACAAACAAGAAAACCCAACGACAACAACAACAAAAACCAGACATGTAGACCATGGAATAATTCAACAGAAGGTCATGAAAAACAGGTGCGCACAGACATGGGCAGAGCGGAAGGCCTTTCAGTACCCAGCGCGTGGTCCCCTGCACGGGCAGGTGAATAAAATGAAACCTGAACCCCCTCATCAATCCACCCTCACGGGGACTTGGGTGCTGTGCGTCTCAAGGGGAAGCATAAACGACACAGCGTCTGAAAGACAGCACAGGACACCATTTACACAGAGCTGGGAGGCAGGGGAGATTTACACAGAGCTGGGAGGCGGGGGAGAAGGGCAGAGTTTTCAGACACCAGAAAGCTCTGACTGTTAAGAAAAAGGCTGAAATGATAAACCACGTTAGAATTAAGATTTTGTTTGGGTCAACTGACACTGTGAGGGGACAGAAATACAGGCCACAAGTGAGACAAGGTACATGCAGTTGTTTAATGACAAGGGGTTCCTATGCAGAGAATATTTCTGGGTTGCTCACAGAGGAGTGGGCAGAGGTCTTGAAAAGGCACATCCCAGAGGGACACCCTCATGGCCAATCCGTGATCCAAAGGGCAGTGGAGTGAGCGCATCAGCCAGGAGGTAGAGGCAGGAGAAAGTCGCAGCACACACCCCACAGCCCCCAGAGGTAAAGACACAGCCCAACAAAAATTGCTCCAGGAAGCGTGGGAGAGCACATGACACCAGATGACCCGCCCCGCTCGCCCGTATCACCGAGGAAAGCCACTCGGTGCCACCCAGGAAGGTTGATGGTGGGCGCATGCTGTGACCCAGCAATTCCAGCTTCTACCTAGACAGAAATTCCAACTCATGTTCCAAATCAAATATGAACAAATGCAATCAGCAGTATATATGAAGACTAATCAGACAATATCTTAATGGGATTCATTTTAGGAATGGATGGGCATCGTTATATCACAAATTCTGTCAACATAATTGATAAATTAAAGGAGAACCCCAATAACCATACAAATAATAATAAACAACACACTGATAGAATGTTTACCACGCGCCAGGCACAGACAGCCCTTGCCACAGCCCTCCAAGCACCGAAGCCACAGGCCAGCTGGACCATGCCGACAGCCACACAGTGGCAGGGGCACTGGGACCGCAGCCCCAACGCGGGCTCCGGGGCCTGGACACTGAGCAGGCTGCTCCACTGTAGAAGCTCGGAGGGCACTTAGTACTGTCCACAGCCATCACCATCAAATAGAATTGAATCCAATCCCGCAGGAATGGAAGAAAACAGCTCAGGGAAGGTAAAGACAATTTACCAAAACACAAAAGCACAGCACTGGTTCCAAATCTGTGTTCTTGTTCCCACTTTTCACAGAAGTGGGTGGGTACAGCACGGAGCTCTCCTTCCAGCTTTCATTACAGCAAATGGTCACAGGAGGTAACTGAGGAAACTAGGAAAAATGCGGGACCAGGGACGCCTTTTAGACACACGATAAAATGGGGCATTGCACCGCTAGCATGAAAAGCAGACGAGCCTCCGATTACTTGAGAACCACCTAAGATGTTTAAGGAAAAATAAAGCCCACCTGGCTATGGAGAAAAAGCCTGGGTCTACACGGGTCTGCATGGATGTGGCACTGAAGAGGGACCCTCACCCCAGGAGAGCCCTCATCCTCGTCCACACCCCTCTCCAGCTCACTTAAGGCGTGCTGGATGCCCAGGCGGAGCATGTTGGAGCATCAGCACACAGCTGCCGCCAGCACGAACGGACGCTCTCCCAACCCTCTGGGGTGTTTGCTCACTCATGCATGTGGGCCCCCAAATCGGAGCCCAGCCCGTCCCCTGGGGGGACGGAGGCCTCTGCTCCGGGAGAGTTCTCCAAAGCCTGGGACCTTCCACATCCCAGGGGAACTGTCACCGCAGCAGGAGACGCCACTGCACCCTTCCAGGAGCTGCTTAAGGAAAACTCCCAGAGACAGGCATGGAAGCCACCTTCCCTCCATGGAACTGGGGCTCTGAGGAGAGAGGCAAGTCCGGGGATGCTTCTTCCCACAGAGTCAGAGACCGCGGCACCAGAAAGATCGTGGCCGCCATGCTGGCGCCAAGGGCGGGGAGAGGGCAGTGGCCCTGGCCTCTTTTCAGCTGGTTCTGCATTCTTGTGGCCCGGTTAGGCTCAGGGACTGCAGCTTCCAGCAAGGATTGAAGATAAGGGGCCACTCGCTTCTCCTTCCACACCCCACGCCCCTGCCCAGGCTGCAAGAGTGAAGCAGAACCTGGCAGGGGAGGGGGAGGAAGCCCAGAGCCACCTCTGCAGTATCACCCCTGCCCCTGGGGTCCTGGAGAGGAGGTGTCTCCCATGAAGGTCTCTGGGTGCGGGTGGAGGGAGGAGGACTCAGGCAAGCCCCGCGTAGCCCCTTCCCCACCCCAGTCACAGGGCACCAGCTCTCCAGGGCACTGGGCTGCATGGCCTTCCTGGGGGTTACTGGGCTGCACGGCCTTCCCAAGGGGGTGCCCGTCTCTCCCGGGCACTGGACTGCACGGCCTTCCCTGGGGGGTGCCTGTCTCTCCCGGGCACTGGACTGCACGGCCTTCCCTGGGGGGTGCCTGTCTCTCCCAGGCACTGGGCTGCACGGCCTTCCCTGGGGGGTTCCCATCTCTCCTGGGCACTGGGCTGCACGGCCTTCCCTGGGGGGTTCCCATCTCTCCTGGGCACTGGGCTGCACTGCCTTCCTGTAGGGGGTTCCTGTCTCTCCCGGGCACTGGGCTGCATGGCCTTCCCCAGCGGGTGCTGGGCTCTCCCTGGCACTGGGCTATACAGCCTCCCCTGGGGGCCCCCATTTCCTGGCTGGTCTCATGAGGGGTGTGAAGACCTGGTGTGAAGGCCGGCCAGGTGCCACAGGGGTTCTGCGCATGAGAGGGCTGACTTCCCTGTCCTAAGAAGACTCACCATCCCCTCTGCCTTCAGAACAGGATGAGTGTGGTGGGAACAGAAACAGGGTAACACTACTCACAAACTTGCTAGCTGGACACACGCAGCTGGGGAAAGAGGCCAGAGGCCAGAGGCACTGAGTGGCTTGGCCCACGGTCGCGTGGCAGGCGGTGGGCAGTGGCAGTAGGGTTTGGACCCTCTGGTCCTCCCAGTCAACCCTGCTGTGCACAGGAAGAGCCCGGGGTGCAGGGCCAGGCCTCATCACTTCAGACCCCAGGAGCTTCCAGCCAACCAGAGCTGCTCCCAACCGGGTCTGGCCGCACAAGGCTGCAGGCGGTGGTCATGAGTGTCTCCATGGAGGGCTGGGGAGGAGGGAAGCAGGAGACGCAGCTCCCGGCCTCCCTGCTGCCCTAGGAAGGGTGTGCATGGGGCTGGCAGGTCCCGTGGATGCATGAATTAATGTTTTTAGGAGACTCATTCGTCATCACAGGTAAGATGATAGACCACTCTATTATGACAGGAAAATAAGCTAAAATTAGATTAGCAAATCATTTCTTTCAGCGTCTTAATATTTTAAGAATATGACAAATGGTATCTGCTAAAAATATCTCCTTAAAAAAGATATAAGCTAAAGCAACTAAAACCATTAAGAATCTTCCCAAAAGAAAAAAAATCACTAAGAAAAACCCAGAAGATAATAAATGTTGAGTAAAACTTTAAAGGGAATAAAATGAGTGATACAAGATAAATAAATGATAAAAGTAGTTAAAATAGATTTATGAAGATTAAGATAAAGCGATAACATTACAACTAAAAAATAAATGAACAAAAATAAATTCAATAAAAATAAAGATAACTTAGATAAGAAACATACACAAAAAATTAAAGTCTGAAGTGTGACTAACAGCTAAAAAAATCCGACTAAAAAGCTAAGCACAGTGTGAGTCAGTGGTTGGGCCAGGCACCACTGGTTTGAAGGCACTGGTGCTAAACCCCAGTGCGGCCACAGCACCTTGGTGGGCCCTGCCTGCGAGGGAATGCATACGCAGCTCTGTGATCAGGGCTGCAGGGATCCAAAGAGGTGCCAGGTGTGGTGGCATGCAACGTTGGTGGCGAGGGGACAGGCCCTGGGGCCCTGGGGTCACACTCCCCAGGCCCCACTGCCCTTCTGTCCACCGAGGTCTCCACACCCATCTCCTCCCAGTGGTGGAGCTGCCCTGGCCACTGAGGAGCTGCACTGACAGCGTCCTGCAGGCTGAGGGCTGCAGCCCACATGCATGTTGACAGCATGATGGAGGAGGGTGGGGACGGCGAGAGGAGCAGGAGCAGGAGCAGCGGTCACCCCAAGCCTCACCTGCACAGTCGAGTCCCAGGGAGCAGCCACCTGCCAGGGTCCTCTGCTGACCTCGGGTCACAGTAGGGGCCCAGGCGGAAGAGAAGGAAGGAAGAGAAGGGGGAGCTGAAGATGACCCCAGGGTGCCCGAGGGGTCTGGGTGGGGTCCAGGGTGGGGCAGCCTGATGGGGGGAAGCAAAGGCCACAACCTTCATACCTTCAAGCAGCCACGACTGCAGACGCTGCCCACTGCCCAGCCAGATGCTCCCGGATTAGACCGAATCCTCCCGCAGCAGCATCCCAGCGATGTGCGCAGCTTCAATCCGCTGACGGCCTGTTAATCCCACAACCTCCCATCAGCCTGCCTCATCTAATTCATGTTTAATGGGTTTGGTTTGTTTTTATTGCATTTTAGTGTCTGCATTGGAGAAAGTTACAGATACTTGGGTGAAAGACAAGCTCTGTATTTCTACTTGCCAGAACGCACACCTTTATTCATAAACACAACCCTAAATACCGCACAGGTAAAATCCATAAAATAAACCTCCAGCTGGGGCGTCTGAATTGTTGAATTTGTTCTTAGTGAATTCCAATGGGAAGAAGTGAGTCTCGTGAGCTTTGCTGTGGCAGGATCTGAAAGAGAAGTGTCCACCGAGCTGCCCAAAGCCAACCCCACGTCCTGCGGGGCTCCTGTCAGTACCACAGGGGCAGGAAGCCCTGGCTTGGGTGAGGACGTCCGCCATGGCTCCCTTCCCTGTCTCGGCCACCCCGTCCTAACGCCTGCCTCCCGGGTTCTTCCCAGTGCTGTGGGCTGCAGTTTCCGGTGACGGGGGGACGTGCAACGGGGATGTGGACAATGTTTCTGGAAGTCTGGCCAGGAGGCGGGCCCAGGGACAGGCTCGCAGAAATGCCCGCCAGACCCGCCCAGGCTGAAGCAGGGAGCTGGGCAGGCATGGGGACCCCGAGACCCACGTGGATTCCTCAATGCGCGGGCCAGACGCCTTAAGGCTCAGTGGCGATTTAAACTGCAGAAAGTCAGACACACACATTTGTAGGTCACCCAGACCTGTGGCTTTTATTGACTGTAACAGCATCGGAATCCTTTATTTAAAAAAAAAAAAAAAAAAAAAGAACAAATAAGTCAACACAAACACCAGCGAAGCTGTTCAGGCTGAGATTCGGCGGCGCAGAGCAGGATGTGGGCCGCCTCCAGGCAGCCGGGCAGGCAGGACCCTGGGGCTCTGAAAACCGCGCAGACAGAGGAAGCCACCCTGCAACCCTGGGCACCCACACCGGGAGGTGCCCCTGTCCCTAGGCTCTCTCCTCCGAGGCACCCGCTTTGTTCTGCGTAAACACCACATTCCAGGTGTTCTGTGACTTGATTTCAAAACCCAGGCATAACCGACAGGCAGTGAAGCGCAGGAGTCTGAAGTGACGGTTTGATGTCCACTCGGCACTTGCCGTATGGCCACTAATTCCGGACGGGCCCACTGCGCCTCCGAGTGAGGTGCCAGACCCCCTGGCTGCCAGCCTCCTGTGGCCTCTTCAGCACCATCTGGCTTGCGCCTTTTTTTGTCCAGCTTTTTGACTCAAAGTAACATTTCTGAGACTCTTCCCCGCTGTGTGTGCGACGGCGCTGGGTTCCAGCTATCGCTCTTCCTCTTACCACAGAGCAGAATTCCACGGCGTGAGCCTGGTCCCGGCTGGCCCCTTCTGCTGTGGATGGCACTGGCCACCTCCAGTGTGGGGCTGAGGAAGGAAGACGCTGCGTCCAGGAGGGCGAGTCTTCTGTGGCCGCAGCCGGACTTGCTGTCCTGTGTTCATGAGAGACAGCTATCCGTCTCCACGATGGGCGCAGCCCCCAGAGCTCCTGCAGCTACAGCGAGCCTGGAGATTTCCCTTCTCTCTCTCTGATAAACAATCACGTCGCAAACACCTGGACCATGTCTGTGCACAACACAAGGGTCGGGTGGCAGATTCCTGGAAGGAGAACTGGCTGGTGGAAGGATATTTGCATGTATAACCTTCACGGCCCGCACCCTCCGCGTGCGGTGAATGCGGGTAGCAGGGGTAGCAGGTGCGCCAGGGACCCCGTAGCGGCACACCCTGCCCGCACGCCCGTGTCAGGTCCTGTATGCTGGTGACTACCATCGGGAAGTCTTTCGGGTCATCCGTATTCTGTTTCTAAGCAGCTGTACGTTCATTTCTAGGTGGTTGCTGCTTTCACGCGGATTCGTGGGGGCTCCATCGCTGTCCTGCGAGCGATGTTGCTGCTCCCACAGGCTGGCCCTGCCTCAGATCCGGCGCAGCAGCCGTTGCGTGCCCGCGTTTTGTTCCGTCCGCCGCCTTCCCTTCCACGCCTGCTCTGCCTAGGATGCCCTCCCCAAAAAGACCACGTTAAACAGCCACACACGCTTCTATGGCTGCTGTGGCGTTGCGTTCGGTGTGTGGCAGAGTACTAAACCGTGTTTTTGAATAGATACCTCAATGACCGATGTCTTTCACTGAATAGTCTTCCCATGCCCATTAATTTAAATACCACTGTTTTTTAAGCAAAACAAAACAAAGCCTCCAGTCCTGCCTGTGTTAATTACTCCTGCCGGATAATGTTCTGTTATGGGATTCCTGTTCCCTTCTTTCCTGTGTCCTTCTGACGACTGTCCCCGACCTCCGCCCTAGTACACGCATCTCCGTGACGGTGCACATGCAGACGGGGGTGGGGTGGGCAGGAGGACCACAGGGAAGGGAGGGGAGAGGAGAGGGGAGGGGGTGCTGGAGCCTCTGGCAGGGGAGAGGGTGTGAGGAGCTGGCTTCTGAACAGGCTTCACGCTCGTGTGCATCTGGGGCCAGCCTGAACACCTCAGCCTCTCTGGGATTGCTCCAGCCACCCCCGCCTCCCACCAGACCCCTCCCCAGGTCCTCTCCTCCCCTAAGGCCATCTGTGGCTGGTTCCTGCCCCAGAGACACAGACCCTTCATTTCTCCTGAGCCCCTGGAGGCCTCACAGCCTCTGCCACAACGTCCCTCCCACCCAGCCTCTGTCTTGGGTTCCTGTTAACCTTAACCATGAGCGAGCAGGACCACATTTTCTCCACAGCCCCTTCTCCTCTCACGTTCCATGAGCCTCTCTTTTGCTCGGCATCAGGGCAGATGGGGCAGGCCCTGTGTCATTTCCTTGCGATAAGAACCCTGGCCTGTGCACCTGGAATTCCTGTCACTGGGCCACAGGTCTGTCTGGTTCATATCTGACCTGATGGCTCACTGAACAGCACAGGCTGTGCCCCTGGCCCTGGGTGCAAGGTGTGGACACTCAGCTGGGCCCTACCTCAGTGCTTCTGACATAGTCTGGTGGGGAGGAAAGCTGAGAATTTACAGATCCAGAAGGTCCAGAAGGTTCTCAGGTGATGGCAAGGGGGGTCCAGGGGTCACACGTGGAGAGCCACTGACTTGTCCTATTTCATTGAAACACCGCAGCCCATGCTTGGAGAAGGAAGCCCACTGCTATTCTGCTGGCTGGAGTGCGGCAGGACAGGCCAAGCCTGCTGGCTCTGCCCACAGATGGTCCAGTCCATGCGGGGGTCCTGGAGACCCTGTCATAGCATCCGGCCTGTGGCCCTGAGTCCCTTCAGTCACCTCAGCTGGGGTGAAAATGTTTCTTTGGGAGGCTCCGGCTGTGGGGGGTGCACACCCTGAGCCCGCCTGAGGCCTCTGCAGGACAGCCGCCTGCCCTGCCGAGGTCCTGGCCGTGCAGAAGCAGCACCAGTCCCCGCTTTCCGAGCAGAGCCCACAGCTCCGGGTGATAACACACACCCCACACATGGAGAAGGCTGTGTGGCGTCTGCAGGGCCTTGTGGAAGACCATCCTCAAACCCAGCTCCACCGAGCAGCCCTTTCAGTTCCCAAATGAGTCAGGACCCAGAGGAATGAGGCCAATGTGAGGGAGAACATCAGTCCCTGCCTGGTGCCAGAGGACACGCCGCTGCATGAGATACTCAGTGGCGGATGGGGCGGGAGGCACGGAGGTTCTTCTGAGAAGTACAAAGGGGACATCACCTTGTTGCTTCTGCATTGTTCCATTTCGTTATTTCTGCAGGAACAGCGATATCTTCCACTGATAGAAGCGAAGGAATATCCATCCAGTAGCACCGGCCGCGCAGGGCATGCTTTGTTCCTGGAGATAGCGGTACGCATTCTCCCCTAAAGGCGACTGGGGGTGGGCTACGATTTTGTAATTTTTTAAACATGAGCAGGCATGCTCATTACAGCGGCATCTCCCTGTCTTCTGACCACATACGATGACTAATTGCTCCCATTAAGCCAAGTTCTGGGATACACGTCAGGTGGAGCAGAAGAATGGAGATAATGTTAAAAACTGCATCAAAATAAGTGGGACTTTCCCCAAGCGTAAAAGAAGCATTTATAATCATAAATATGAAAAACATTAAATTCTTCTACCCCATCTTAATGAAATGAGAGAAAAATTCCCTTTCCTCAAGATTGGCAGTGGGTAAGAAACAGTCCTTTAGAAATATTACATGAAATTCATTTGAAGGCTGTAGTTGGTGGGAACTGGGTATTAGCCTAAATGCAGAATGTTTTCAAAAGGCATTACTTTCACGCAGAGAAAAGCTTCTTTTTGTTATCAAGGGTACAACTGCTATTCGATACAACTAAAATGTAGAAGAATTTAAAAATCTAAAGTGTTCATATTTATTTCTATGAACTTGGTCACAGACCCACTTGCCTGGAAAGCGAGTTAAAACACAAATTTAAAATATTTATCTCTGAAAGGAAAAACTGATAGGACACATTCAAATCAAACTCCGTTATGACTTTGGCTCTGGCAAGCTATTTCTGGGAACATTTTTCCCAGCAAATGCAAGCAGGAGCAGGAAATGTGACTAAACATGGCAGCGATGGTCGACACACCACACAGACACTGCAAACCCTCTCTATTGTACTCACAACTGCCAAAATACGTTCACCAGAAGGATCCTGAGCTAAGGGAACACTTTAGTTCATTTACAATAGGTGAAAATATAAAATTTTGTTGTAACTTATGAACTGAAAAACTCAGCATCATTTTCTCAACATTTTGAAGTATTATGCATTCCCTGATGGCTTCATCACACAGAAATCCTGCTCACTGGCCTTCCTGAGGTTAAGAGAATCATGTTCTTCCCCATTTTAAGCACCAAGCTGCAAAAGTGCATGCTCTCCATCCATCGGCAGCACCCATGACCCCGCCTCACTCGGATGTTGGACTTCAGTACCCCACGCTAGTGGCGGGGATGTAATCACCTGTTCAGTTCAGAGGCCAGCGTTCACCCACAGAAGCAGTGATGGAAGGCACTCATCAGACAGAAAAGTCTGGCCCCACAAGGGTGACCAGTGTTTGCACAGGTGAGAGTCACACTCCCATACCACATCCAGTATCTCTGATTGATAAACATCCGTAAAGCCACGTTTATGTTTCCATAAATAATAACACTCGACTAGTAAAGAAGATTATTGACACTTGCTATGGGTCCTCAGAAGGAACCCTGTTAGTGGAACAGCCGGCCTGACGGGAGCCTCATCATCTGAGCGGGCTTAAACCTAACACAATTTCCGCTTTTTCATCGTAACGCATCGTGCACGGCTATGCGGTTCCTCTAGGCATTTCCCCGACAGTCAACCAAGCACAAACTCTGCCTGCCACATTGCCTGGGACTCCCGTCGAAGCCAATCTCAGCCAACCGTCCTGCCCGCGGACCGCTCACCCAGGGCCCTCAATCCCTTACCTTGGAACAAAGCAGCTCTGTGAGGCTGGGAACGATCAGGTTTGATGTGGGTATCGGACAGATGGCCACTCTCCCCGTTTAGACAAGATGAGATGCTACCGGAGAAAAAGGAGAGTGGTGCTTCGCTCTCCACCGAGGGAGGCTGCCCACCCCATTGGCCTCGGGCGGGAGCCGCGTGACATGGGCCAGGCACATGTGACCCACTTTTTGCCCAGCTCCCCTCATGCCCTTGGAGGGTGGACCCAGCACTCATGCGCTGTCATTTCAATACCCCCTTCCCCCAACAGGGGCGACTCAACAGCCCGGCGAGCCTGTAGGACACACGGCCGCAGCAGCTAAGCCCCTGGAATAGGAAGGGGTGGGTGGGGGCAGAAACCCCAGGACCCAGCATTAATCCCAACACAGCTCCTAAGACACGAGCTTTTGCTGCTGCTGCCGCCAGTCTGCCATGGGTGGCGTAGGCATAAAGCAGGTCCCTACCCGGACAGCGGGGCTGACCTGGGCTTGGCTGGTGACGCTCTTGCAGGTCCTCATGGACTGCAGGATGAGGCTATTCCTCACCAGGAGGAGGTACCTGAAACAGCATGAACTGGAAATTCCCTCCTTTCCCTGTTTTCTTCTTTGTTGTGACTGAGATGTTCCAGGTCTGCCCCACAAGAAAGACCCATGCAAAGCTGAGTGGACGAGCTGCAGCCTCAAATGTGGTCCTGATGCCAGCTGTGCCCCAGGTAGGTGGGGTGGAAAGGCCTAGCCCAGGACCCCACAGCCCAGACACTCGGGGCCAAGAGAGGAGGTACAGGATGCACACTGCTCCACCCATCAAACTAGGCACTTCTGCCACAGAGTAGGAGAAAGTCACCCTCTGTTCTGTTACAGGCTTCTTACCTTGATCCCACCATGTTACACAAGACTCAGGGGCGGTAATGGGAAAAGCACACACAACAGGCAGAAGTGAAATGTGAATGCAAAGAGAAGCCACTGGGCTGTGAAGAGGGCCCGGTTTCGTCGGGGACAGGCTGAGCTGGCTCCTGCTGGGGCCCACACAATGTGCTTGCAGCTTTCTGATGCCAGACAAGGCACAGAGACAGTGTGTGGTGTCCTGCATGTCTTACTGACCAAGCAAAGTCAGTCGATTGCTTATTAAAGAAAGAAGCTAAAATAACGAGTATCGGAGGTTCATACAGAAAAAAATAGAATATGTGTACATGCAAAAGAAAAACCTGTCACTGATCATTACCCAGAAGGACCACGGTTGATATGTGTTATCTTGAGATCTGCCTATTCAGACTTTGGTCTAGTAGGCCTGTGTTTTTATATCTTTTTAGCAAAAATAGTAACCAACCATGTTTGTTTTTCTTGCTATTATACATGAAATATTTTTCTATGTTACTATATTGAAGTCTGCATAAAAGGGAGCAGATTCCCCACGGTATTGCATTTTGTGCATTTTTATGCATTTATTCTGATGCATAAAAATCTGCAGTGACTGACAATTCCAGGTATTTTGAATTGTTACAGTAACTAATAATGTAATGTTTGTTGCTATGATTTAAATGTACGTGTCCCCCCACCCGCCCCAATTCCTATGTTGAAACTTAAGACCCAGTGTGATGGTATCAGGAGGTGATTAGGCCATGAGACTCCGCTCTCAGAAATGGACCAGTGCCTCATAAAAAGGCTCAAGAAAACTAGCAGGGTCCTTTTTACCCTTACATCCCATCCACCATGGGGACACAGCGTTCGTGGCCTCCAGGGGAAGCAGCGTTCAAGGTGCTGTCTCAGACAGGCCGACCCTTCCCAGGCGCAAAACCTGCTAGAGTCTTGATCCTGGATTGCCAGCCTCCGTAATGGTGAGTGATACATTGATTCTGTTTATAAATTGCCCAGTGTTGGGTATCTTGTTCTAGCAGCAGAAACGGACTAAAACCATGACCTTTGAGTGGATCCCGTTCTGTCTCTCTCTTATTTCCTTGTAGTCTGTACCTATAATTTTGGGGCCAAAGGAGGCACAAGCTGAAGTGCAGGGCGAGAAGCAGGCCCAGCTGGCGCCATCCAGTCCATTCCTCTCCACTGGGCAGGCTCTGCCCTCGGTGCGGTCTGCAAGCACTGAGCTTATGAACACGGAGGGGTCAGGGAAGAAGAGGAGGAGGATACGGTGGCCACATTAAGACAACTCTCGCTCTGCATCTGGCACTGCTGACTAATTTAATCTTGAGCAGCTCTCGGTGTGGGGTTCCTGTTACGGATGGGGAGAACAATGGCAGAATCACTCAAGGCGTGCTCTGGCCCTAAAGCTTGGGTGGTGGGGCTGGCACCCAGGCTGGCAAGGGCCCAGGCTGTTGCCCCAGCTGGCTGGGGCAGGACTGGACACTGAGCGTTGAGGCTGGTGTGGGTGGGCCTGTGGTGTTCACAAACAGCCTGCTGGAAGGCAAAGCAGAACAGGCAGGCAGGGCCTGGTTGCCAGTGGGGTGGAAGGTGGGTGGCTACCAGCAGATGTGAGGCCCAGGTGGGTGCTGTGGGTAAGTGGCCTTCTCACCTGCTGTGTGCGGTGGGGAGAAGGAAGCTGACCAGGCAGCAGCTGAGAGGGGGTGCTGGCAGAGGTGAGAAGGCATGGAGGCGGCTGCACACCAAGCCACAGCGCTTGTGAAGGGAGGAGCTGAGGGTGTGACTGGGAAGGAGCAGCCCAGAGGCAGGAGGGGAACTGGGGCAGGGGCCTCCACAGGGCCCAGGATGGGCAGGAGGAGCCGCTGGCTCAGTGCCGCCAAGAGCCCAGTGAGGGCGAGGGGAGGTACAGAGCGGCCCTGCTCGGAGGGGTCACTGCCAGCAGCCTCGGAGTGGAGGCCGAACACAGTCATTTGCACCCAAGGCGAGCACTGCACCTCCACGGGGGTCGCTGCCAAGGGCTGCTCCTCGCCACACTGTTTCCTCTACCAATCCTGCTCCCAGGGCCACGCTCAGGGGAGGGGTCGCTGCCGGCCGGAGGGGCACAGCTGCATCACGTGTGTGTAACTGCCTGTGTAAGGAAGGGCTGTCCATCTCCCCCGCAGTCTGCATTGTGCCTGTTTTACTCTGCGCTGTCACGCAGCCTCGCACGATCTTTGCTGTTGGCCATGAGAGGCTCTTTCAGGTGGGCTTCGGTGTCCCTCCAGGGCGATGGGTTTTCTACCTTGGGGCTGTCATGTGCTCAGGCTCATTTGTGCTTCCCCACCCAGAATCTGCCATTTCTCCATGGAACCCTTCTGTTTTCCAACCATTTCGGTAGAAAGAGGATAAAAGGCCATGTAAGTTGCAGCCCCAACTGCGTGTTCAACACAGACAGCAACATGGTGTAAAATGTCAACCAAGTCAGCTGCACAGTCCTAACTGCTGTTAGCCATATCACTCCTGCCAACATGCAACTTTCGACGTAATAAAATTAGAGACCTAATGGTGCTGCTGTGAAAATTTCACATTTACTACATGTATGTGAATACAGCTGCTTCATTCCTTTTCTCTAAAACTGCCAGGACACAGAAGGGCACCGATGTACCCTGGGACTTGGAAGCCACAGGAAGGAGAAGCAGCCCAGAGGCCACAGCCCGGATGTCGGCTGGAGAGGGCACCTGGGCCTGGCTCTGGTCTTTCTGAAGCTGCGTGCTGGAGCCTTCGGTTACCCACTGAAGTCCAGGAGGTTAGACCCCATCCACAATGGCAAGAACCTTCCAATCCAGGTGCCGAGGACACCCCCATGCTTGACTCCTGGGTGCATTTGTCAGAGGGTGGGGGCACCGGCCATCCCTGGGCTGGCTGGTCCCTGAGGCCCATCCTGGTGCACAGCTGCTGTGGTTTTACAGTGGAGCGGCCCTCTGTGTTCCCCAGGAGCAGCCTCCCTTCTCCATTTAAAGGAAGTTAAAGGTGTTGAAGGAAGAGGCCGCCTGCCCTGCTTCCTCAGCTGACATGTCTCTCTGTGACCCGGGTGTGGAGACCAGGCCTGGGAGGTGAAGTGCCCTCACCTGGGGTCCAGCTGTGCTGCTCACGGTGCACGATCCCCAAAGGCGCACTCAGTGCTGGAACAGGCCCTGGAGAGGGAGGTGCCCAGCCGAGTGTGGAGCCCGCTCTGGGGCCAGGCGCCCACCCATCACACTGACGGCTGCCCCTAGTGGTTTCTCCAAGAGGGGAGATGTCGCGTGTTAGGACTGGCCTTCCCTGAGCAGAGGCAGGGAGCCAGGGTGAGGCTGGCAGCCAGTGGAAGGCCAGCTGTCCAGGGTCCCAAGGGCCACCTTGGAGTTTCCTGGGCAACCTGGGAGTTTTCCTCCCCAGGGGCTCTGAAGCAGTAAATGGGGAGAGTGTGAAATGGATTCATCCCTGCTTCTGATGCATAGCCATGCAGGGGAACCCCCATATGATGCAATTCTCTCTCAGAGAACCCTCTCTGGCCTTGTACCCTGACTCGCTGGCCACCTCTGCTGCACAGCGCCTCCCGGCCCGGCTGACCCGCTGGCCACCTCTGCAGCACGGCCCCTCCTGGCTCAGCTGTTCCTGGTCGGGGACCTGCTGATACCACAGCACAGTGCCGGGCATTCACAGAGCTCACATCCCAAGGACGGTGACACCAGCAAAGGAGTGGACAAGCAGCAGGAGTTGGTGGCAGCAGACAAGGCTGGAAAGGCTGGATTGGGGTTTTATATGGCGTCTGTATTCATCTGTTCTCACGCTGGTAATACAGACATACCCGAGACTGTGTAATTTATAAAGGAAAGAGGTTTCATGGACTCACAGTTCCACATGGCTGGGGAGGCCTCACAATCATGGTGGAAGATGCAGGAAGAGCAAAGGGACGTCTTACATGGTGGCCGGCAAGAGAGGGCACGTGCAGAGGAACTATGCTTTAGAAAACCATCAGATCTCATGAGACTTACTCACTATCACGAGAACAGCACGGGAAAGACCCGCCCCCATGATTCACTTACCTCCCACTGAGTCCCTCCCATGACCTGTAGGAATTGTGGGAGCTACAATTCAAGATGAGATTTGGGTGGGGACACAGCCAGACCATATCAGCATCCATCAGGAAGACCTCACTGAAGGGGGACCTGGGAACTGTGGAAGGAAAATAAAATCTCAGGACCCCAAACCCACTATGACGAGGAGTTCAGTTTGGGAACAGAGTCATGCAAAGGTGGCCTTCCTTTTGGTCCTAAGCAGACAGCTGCAGATAGAAGGCTGCGAGGCTCCCCAGGGGCCTCCCTCACCAGCTGCCCACACGGAAATGCCCTCTGGGCCCCAGTCTGTACCCTAAGGCAGTGTCCTGCTGACTCTCACCCTGACAGTGTCAATAAACAGCTTATCTTCACAGGTACAGGACTAAGACAAGACGAGAAGCCGTTCCTCCTCCGCCCAGCCCGAGACACATGCATGTCTTCCTCTGCTCCAGGTTTACTTCACCTTATGGGAAATGCAGATTCTTGGAGAGACCGTGCGTAGATGACAGGTCCTCTACCGCCTCCCGCCAGCTCTTTCCCCTTCAAATACGAAAGTCCTAAAAGTCTCTTCGGAAAAATCCCAGGCAACAGGTCCTACAGTAACTTCTGTCTCTCTCCCTGGCGAGTCCTCAACCTTGGCAAAATAAACCTCTGAGCGGATTAAGATCTGCCACAATCCCATTTTGGTTGACAGGTCAGAGACTGGAGGGAGGTAAGGGAGGTCCATGAGGCTCCCTGGGGCATGGCCCGCAAGGCAGGAGTGCAGGGTGGGTCTGAGGAGCACGGTCAGTGGGAAGGGTGTGGGAATGGGGGAGGCCTGGCTTGGCTGTGGGGGGAGGCAACACCCCTGCCCTCTGCGAGCCTCTCCCACGACACCTCCGTCAACACTGGAGAGCAAGGCCCTGGGGGGCAGCCCTGTTTCCCCATCCCATCCAGGGCTCATGGGTCCAAGAGTGGCAGAGAAGCCAGCACCAGGGCTTGAGGCTTTCTGGTCACTGGTACATGCTGGCTCCTGTCAACAAGAAGAGCTAAACTCTACAAAATAATATTTGAAGAGATTTACTCTGAGCCAAATGTGAGTGACCATGGCTGAGGCACAGCCTCAGGAGAACCTAAGAACTTGTGCCCAGGGTGGCTGGGGTGCAGCCTGGTTTTATATGGTTTAGGGAGATATAGTGAGGTGTGCTCTGCTTTGAGGTCCAGAAAGGCAGGACAGCTCAAAGGTGGGGGGTTATAGGTGGTGTATTAGGCTGTTCTTGCATTGTCATAAAGGAATGCCTGAGGCTGGGTAATTTATAAAGAAAGGATTTCAGCTGGCTCAGGGTTCTGCAGGCCATACAGGAGGCTCAGCATTGGCATCTGTTTGGCTTCTGGAGAGGGGCCTCCGTGAGGACTCAATTCTGATTTTTTTTCTTGCCTATATTCCTATCTAAGGGTTCTGGGGAGTCATGCTCTACAAACCATAAATTCTCATCAGATGGGTTTTATTTAACCCTATATTGTGACTTACTTTCCAACCTGGCATAACATTATGAGACAAAGAATACAAAATAATTTACCCCAAAACATGTTTCTTTGCCATATCTTGAGATGGTCCTACAAAGCCGTCCTTTGTGGGGGAACATTTGCATCTGTAAAGAATCTCTATTAACATAGCTTGATCTTTTTCTCCCAGGCCCTCCCAATCCTGAAGAGATTAACTGAGAGTCCAGCAGCTTTTAAAGGTCTGAACAGGAAGCATTTGTCATCGACTGTCTCTAAGGACAGCCACTATGAGACTTCAGAAGAACCTTGGTCTCCACAATGCTTTATCTTAACCTGAGCATTTCCTTTCTATGATCCCAGGTCTTTAGACAAACTCAACCGTCAGCAAGAAAATGTTTAAATTTACTGATAGCCTGGAAGCCCTCACTTTGAGTTGTCCCACCTTTCTGGACCAAACCAATGTATTTGTTAAATGTATTTGATTGATGTCTCATGCCTCCCTAAAGTGAATAAAACCAGGCTGTACCCGACCGCCTTGGGTACATGTTCTCAGGACCTCCTGAGGGCTGCGTCACAGGCCATGGTCATGCAGATTTGGCTCAGAATAAATCTCTTCAAATATTTTACAGAGTTGGACTTTTTTCTTTGACATCAGGAAACTTGCGATCATGGCGGGAGGCAGAGGAGCAGGCACGTCACCGGGGCAGAGCGGGGGTGGGGGGGGCGTGCCACACACTTTTACACAACTAGGTCTCCTGTGAACTCAAGGACAAGAGCTCGGTCATCACCAGGGGATGGCCCAGGCCGTTCATGGGGAAGCCGCACCCATGACCCAAACACCTCCCACCAGACCCACCTCCAACACTCGGGATCACATTTCCATGTGAGATGTGGGTAGGGCAAATATCCAAGCTCTATCAGATGAATTAAAAGATGTTCTGATGGGTACTTGGTTGAATGAGTTAAGTTACTATCTGAAGGCCTGGAATCAATAGAAAGGAGTGTCTGGGTTAAGAGAAGGGGCTGTGGAGACCAAGGTCCTTATTATGTGGATGAAATCTCATAGGTGTCCACCCTTAGAGGCAATACATGGCAAATGTTTCCTATTCAGACCTTCACAAGGCACTAGACTCTCAGCCAGGCTCCTCAGGATTGGGAGGGTCTGGAAGGGGAAAGATCCAGTTATGTTAATACAGGTTCTTTACAGATGCAAACTTTCCCCCATAAAAGATGGCTTTGGAGGCCCATTTCAAAATATGGCAAATAAACATATTTTGGGGTAAAATATTTCTGTTTCCTACTTTATCTGTCATGTGATGTGAAGCCACAGTCAGATTGAAAAGCCACGTTATATTGGGTTAAATAAAACCTGTCTCATGAGATGTTACGGTTTGTACGGTGTGACTCCCCAGGCTCCTTAGATAGGAATTTGGGCAAGAGAGGAAAAAGGTCAGAGTTTAGTCCTCTCTCCAAGCCGAGCAACTTCCCTGGCAGGAGGTTTTCTGTCTCCCTGGGTTCCACCCGCCTGTCACCTCTGCAGCGCGTTCTGTGCCTGTGTGGGGTCCGGCCCTCAGGCCATCGGGCACTTGGATCCCGGGCAGAAGGCAGACAGACACGTGGGCCTGACCCCACACACTGCATGGCCTGCAGCACAGACCTAGGGTGGCGGGGTACGGAGGCAGCCTTGGGTCTCATTTAAATCCCAGAGAGAGCATTTATATCTCAGATGTAGGAGGCAACCGGCCTGGTTGGGTTCAGGCTTCAACTCTAAGGGGCTCTGTATGTGGTTCCCACGTTGGTTGTTTCGGTCTTTGCAGGGCTCTCCAGGCCTTCCCACGCATGCCCCCCTCTGTGCTGGTGGGGTGTGGGGTCTGGGAACTGGGCAGCAGTCCACCCCATGGTGCGGTTCTCAAGGTCTGTGATGGGCTGTTTGAGGGCGGATGTGTGTATGTGAAGCTGGGGATGAGTGTGGGAGAATGCCCAGCCCTCTCCGTGGGCTTCCGGAGCCTGCGTCTGTGCTGGCCTCCCTGTGCCTCCCAGATCCCAGGATTCCTCTTTTCCCTCCTGCAGTCGGGAAGCTCCAGCTCTGTGCACTGGCTTCCCAGGTGCACTCCTCCAGGATCAGCTGTGGGAAAGCGCAGAGAGAGAGAAGGCACTTGGGCATCGCTGCCAGACTTGGAGAGGAAGGCTCCCTCCCTCCGTGGTGGAGCCTGGGGGCCCCTGCGGACCCCCTTGGCCATTCCTGGCACCACTATTGTCGCCATAAGGCTGCCTAGGGTCCCCTTTCCTGCTCTTCGAGCTGTTCCGAGAGGCTCCTCCTGGAGCTCTCTGTCAGCTTTCTGCCATCTTCTGGGTTTCAGCCTGCTGTGAACTCAGGCAGGAGAGATCGTAAGTTTCCATTTCCTCCAGCACTCCTGCTACTTACTTCTCAGACCACTGCATTCCGCGGGGCAGAGGCTCGGAGTGCTTGCTCCACCCACCCAGAGCCCACACCCAGCTTCATTTCAGTCTCATCAAAGAGCATCTTCTCCTCACAGTGAACAATCCAAGAGGGAAATTAAGAAAACACTTCTATTTACAATAGCATCACAAAGAATAAAACACTTGAGATAGGCACACACAAGGGCACCGCTCCTAACAGCCAAACGGGTGAAGCCTTCCTGTCCACTGATGGCTGCAGTCTTTACATACAACAGGATATCGGTCAGCTTTCAAAAGGAAGGACATTCTCACACATGCCACAGTGTAGATGAACCCTGAAGACAGCAGACTAAAAGAAAGAAGCCAGATACAAACAGACAAATGCCATATAATTCCACGTGTAGCGGTCCCTAGAGCAGTCAGATTCCTAGAGACAGAGAGTAGGATCCTGGGTGCCAGAGGCTGGGGGAGGGAGGGTTTAATGGGGACAGAGATTCAGTTCAAAAAGTTGAGAAAGTTCTGGAGATAATGGTGGTGATGGCTGCCCAGCATATCCCTGAACTGTATGCTAAAAAATAGTTAAGATGGAAAATTCTATGTTATGTACATTTTACAACAACTAAAAATAAAAACAAAAATAAATTTTAAAAAAGCATGTGTGGTAGCTGACACACATGCAGGGCAGGAGGAGTCGTATTTGAGCCTGCAAGTCCAGGCTGGCCCTTGCATGGAACAAACCGCACAGCCTCTCAGGGCCCAGGTTACTGAGCTGTGAAACGTAGAGGCCTCATCCCACCCCTTCCATCTCTCTCCCAGGCCCAACTTCACACGGATGCTGCTCTTTGTGTTTCTTTGCGTTTTTGTCCCCCCCGCCCCACTCTTACCTTTTTGGAAATCTCTTCTCTTCCTAGCCTCGTGCACAGAGGCTGAGATGCGGATATCAGTTTATGACACGTCGGCACCACCGCTTCCTGGGAGCGGCTCCTGCCCCGTACCATCGGCTCCTTTTTATTCTCACCGGCCCTTATCACCACCACCTGCCACTGCCACCACGCAGGAGCCCATTCTAAAACACCGAGTGCCTGACTCTTACTCACATATGCTCTTGCAAAGTATGTGTGTATTTAATTTCCTATGCACGCGTCTGTACTCACACAGGCAGAATGGTTTAACACCACTCATGTTTCTTAGCTTTTTAACCCAGTGAGGCAGGAGAAGAGGGCCTGCAGGGAAGAAACCTAAGGTCTTCCTAGAACTAAATCAAATGCAAACACTTCAGCCATGACAGGAACACCCTCTCCATTCACAGGGGTGTACACCAAGTAACCAATGGAAACCTGCAGAGGGTATTGAAACCCCAGAAAATTCTGTCGCTGGGGCCCGTGAGCTGCTTGCTCGGGCTGCTCCCACCCTGTGGACTGTGCTCTCATTTTCAGTAAATCTCTGCTCTCACTGCTTCATTCTTTCCTTGCTTTGTTTGTGTGTTTTGTCCAATTATTTTTTCAAAACGCCAAGAACCTGGACACCCTCCACCAGTAACGCCAGCCCTGCCTTTAAGGGCCATTGGCACACCCAACCCACGGCATCTGGCTTCTGCCACAGTTAGGTTTTCACTCTTCTAGGCAGGGGCACTGAGGTCACCTTCCACCCCGACATCCACGGAGCACAACAAGGAGATGCTGTGTGCATCTGTCTCCATGAACCCGTGGAGATTTTGTCACCACAGAGATGCAGGACAGCATGCCAGGTCACAGCAGGCTCCAGAGAAGACATGCCAGCCCACCCCCTCTGGCCAGCGGCATGTGCACTTTCCGCATCTGCTCCCAATGCCTGGTGCGAGTCCACTGCCCGCTCCTGCTGGTCTCAGCTGTGGGAAGTGTACACGCCATGTCACTCTGCATCTCTCAGACAAGAAGTGAGTTTGCACATCTCTTCACCAGCCTTTTGTACTTCTTCTTCTGTAAACTGTCTTTCCGATCCTTCACCCATTTTTCTATAAAAGTTACTGTATTAGTTTACTATTGCTGATGTTACAAATTACATCACAAATTTATTATCTTCTATTTCCAGAAGTCAGAGGTCTGAATCAGATCTCACTAGACAAGTCACGGTGTTTACAGGGCTGTGTTCCTTCTGAACAAAAGTCACGGTGGCTGCAGGGCTGTGTTCCTTCTGAACAAAAATCAGTGTGGCTGCAGGGCTGTGTTCCTTCTGAACAAAAATCAGCATGGCTGCAGGGCTGTGTTCCTTCCGAACAGAAGTCAGGGTGGCCGCAGGGCTGTGTTCCTTCTGAACAAAAATCAGCATGGCTGCAGGGCTGTGTTCCTTCTGAACAAAAGTCAGGGTGGCTGCAGGGCTGTGTTCCTTCTGAACAAAAGTCAGGGTGGCTACAGGGCTGTGTTCCTTCTGAACAAAAGTCAGGGTGGCTACAGGGCTGTGTTCCTTCCGAACAGAAGTCAGGGTGGCTGCAGGGCTGTGTTCCTTCTGAACAAAAGTCAGGGTGGCTACAGGGCTGTGTTCCTTCTGAACAAAAGTCAGGGTGGCTGCAGGGCTGTGTTCCTTCTGAAGGCTTTGGGGAAATTTTCCCTTGTCTTTTCCAGGCCACGTTCCTTGCCTCGACCTTCGAAGCCGTCAGCTTTTTTTAAGCTTTATTTATAATTGACGCATAATAGTTGTACATATTTACAGGATACAGTATGATGTTGCAATACACGTATACATTATTTAATGATCAAACCAGGGAAATTAGCATATCCATCACTGTAAACATTTATGATTTTGTGATAACATTCAAAATCCTGTCTTCCAGCTATCTGGACAGACATATTATTATTAGCTATAGTCACCCTATTGTTAACAGAACACCAGAATTTACTCCTCCTGTCTAACTTTAACTTTGTACCTGTGGACCAGCCTCTCTTCTTCCTAGCCTCAGGGCTGGGGAGCTTTATTATCTATTTTCTGAAACAATCTGTGTAAGTTAGAAATCAAGTGTTCCTTAAAGTTAGGTATAATTCACCCATAAAAATGTGTCTGAGAACTTTTTTTGAATGGAAGTCTTTGATTGTCACTTAAATTTCTTTAGTATTATTGGCTTATCCAAGTTCTCTATTTCTTCTCAAGTCTATTTTGGCACTTCCTATTTTCCCAGGAAGTTATCAATTTCACCTATGTTTTCAAATGTGTTAGCATATGGTTTCCCACAGTACTCAACTTTTCTTCTTGGCTGTATCTATGGTTATTTCTTTACCTATCTATCTATCTATCTATCTATCCATCCATCTATATTTATTTTTATTTATTTATTCACTCATTCACTCCTTTCTATATTCTGTTCCATCGACTGTCACCAGTATCATCCCTTCACTTTCTTTCTTTTTTTTAAGACAATCTCACTCCATGGCCCAGGCTGGAGTGCAAGGGCACAATCTTGGCTCACTACAACCTTCTCCTCCCGGGTTCAAGCAATTCTCCTGCCTCAGCCTCCCGAGTAGCTGGGATTAAAGGCACACACCACCACACCTGGCTAATTTTTGTATTTTAGTAGAGACAGGGTTTCACCATGTTGGCCAGGCTGGTCTCAAACTCCTGACCTCTTGATCTACCCACCTCGGCCTCCCAAAGTGCTGGGATTACAGGCGTGAGCCACCACGCCCGGCCCTTCCACTTTCTTTAACCAAAGATCTAACTATTGACTCTAAAACACAAAACAGCTTTCAGGGCTGTGAATTTTCTGTTTTTCTGTGCTCTCTATTTCACTGATTTCTGCCTTATGGATCCTTGGGCTTTCTCTCTTGCTCTTTTTTCAGCCTCTTGAGTTAATTTTTCATGTTTCTTAACACGTGTTTATAGCTACAAATGTCCTTCTAAGCACTGCTTTAGCTGTGTCATGCTAATTTGGACATATACTGCCTCATAATCACTCAGCCCTAAAGTTCTTTTATTTCTTTTATGATTTTATTTCTAACAAGAGTTTTTTATAGCATATTATTTATGTAAGCTATTCCTTTACTATTAATTTCCAGTATAATTGCCTTATGCTCTCCACATGCTGTGTTATAGACAGATTTCACCTGTACACATACATCCCTATGTTACAGACAGACTTCACCTGTACACATCCTAGTACTGTACATGCTCTCTGTATGCTTAGAAAGTAACATGTAGAGTTCAAAATATACCTAACAGCTCAAACTTATTTATTATATTGCTTAAGATATTAATACTCCCGTTTATTTTTTGGTGACCTACTTCTTGAAGGGATATGTTAAAAGCTCCAAACACAACTGCTCATTCATCCAACGTTCCTTGCAATTGTATCAACAGAAGTTCATGGTAGCAGCTCAAGCCACGGCACTAATGTCTGCAGGGTATCACCAGACCACCAAAACAGCACCCCCACTCCTGATGCTCTCATTACCTACTCTTTCCAAACACCTCAGGACGATCTTCAGCCCCCAGCACAGCCTTCTTGTCCTTCATTCCTGAAACCTGTGCCTCCTTGGCTTCTCGGGGCTGGCTCCAGGGGAGAGCTGGAAGGCTGTGCGAGAACCACCTGGCCTGGCACTGGACCCAAAGGTGTTCAACCACAACCAGCTCACTGCTATCAAAAGCAGGGATCCCCAATTTCCCAAAGTCATATACAGAATAGTCTTCAGGGCACATTGTGGACTGAAGCAGGGTGAAATACAGCACTGTGTCACTTCAAACAGATTTCATTTGTCAAGGGTAAGTCTGACTTTGTTATATACACTCTTGGTAAACAAACAAACATGGAAACAAAAGACAGTAACTCACCTTCCCCCATAAGCAGGCTATAAGGTTTAGAGCAGATCCATAGACAGCAAAGGTTCAGACGTATTGAACTCAGAGCATCATAACCACAGCAGGTGATTTACAGAAGGGTTGACTTTTGTCGTGGAGCCTACCGACCTAAAACACAAAAACACAGGGCTGTGTGAGCGCACCAGTGCAGGGCCTCTCCGCCAGCACTGGGCTTCAACGGAACTGCCTCTTGCCTTCAACACAGCAGTCAACACCTCTTCAGCATTCGAGTACAAGGCACAGTGTGAGTGTGGAGACAGAGTGCCAGCAAGCGCTCCCCCCTGGGGCTCTTCCCCCCAACACCCCAAATGAGGTGACTCAACCCAAAGGCAGGCTTCCACTTCACAAGTGAGACGTCTACATGAAATGTTTTGATAAAATTGCACTTACTTACGTATTTCCTTATATCTACACTGATTTTAAAACAATATTTATTAAATTATATATTAATTTAAATACATTGCTGGTTTTCTAATTTCACTGATAGTGAACAAATTTCATCTAATTTCTTCAATTTCAGCATGGTCTTAGAGGAGAGACTTGGAAAAAAAAGGCACATTTGAGGTTGGATGTGGTGGCTCATGCCTGTAATCCCAGCACTTTGGGAGGCCAAGACGGGAGGATCACTTAAGGTCAGGAGTTTGAGGCCAGCCTGGGCAACATGGTGAAACCCCCATCTCTACCAAAATACAAAAAATTAGCCAGGGTGGTGGCGGGCACCTGTAATCCCAGCTACTCCGGAGGCTGAGGCAGGAGAATTGCTTGAACCCAGGAGGCGGGGGTTGCAGTGAGCTGAGATTGCGCCACTGCACTGCAGCCTGAGTGTGACAGAGTGAGTGAGACTCCGTCTCAAAAAAGAAAAAAAAAAAAAGGCATATTTGGAACCTTGGGAGAAAAAGGGAAGGAAGGATGGAAAGAGTAGAAATTCAGTTTCCTACAGAAATAAAAGCATAGCAAGGCATAAGAAGACACAGATTTAATCCATCTCCAAATGCACCATTCAGTTTTTTTCTAAAAAGAACCTACATTTTTGCTGACCAACAAAAAAGGATGCTATTGGACAAAGAAACCTGGTAAACCACCTGTGTCCCTTGGCATGTCCATTCCCAGCTAGAAACACCTGTTACTGCTAGTGCAGGAAAATCCAAGTGCTTTTAAAATAAATAGAAAAAAGGCATGCAAAATCCCTTTGGGTAAATGATGTTCTCCAAGTCGCAGACACTCCTGAAGTCCTTCATGGCTCTGAGAGAGGAAAACGGGGTGTGGGCACTAAAACTTCTTCAGCTAATGGAACTGAGAACTCCCACCCAGCGCTGCAGTCCAAAGCAAAATGAGTAAAAGCTGAGAAACAGAAATGAAACACTAAAAACACCAGGAACACAAATGTACAGTTAAAACAAAAAACTGTGAAATGAGAATTAATTTAACCCAGGACAGAAATGAAAGAGAATGACACAATTAGCCTAGAAATGAGACTAAGTTACAAGGTACCAAAAGAGAGAGATTCAGCTGAGTGTGAGGCAGGACAACAGAAGGAGGCAGGGAACAGAAGGCTGATCCATCCAGGCTGACTCCCTAGAACTAAATCAAATGAAAGCTCCTCAGCAATGACAGGGATGTGAACAGCTTTGCAACTGCACTTCACCCTCTCCGTTCACGGCATTTACCCTTTGTAACTTCATATGCATCCTCTCCATTTATACAGACCACACACTCCAAGTAGCATCCTCTCCATTTACAGTAGGGTGCATTCTGAGTAAATGACTCTGACTTCACTTCATTCTCTTCATTTTCATAGAATATTCGCCAAGTAACCAGGGGAAACCTCTAGAGTATCGAAACCCCAGAAAATTCTGTAAGCTCCTGAGTCCCGATGGTCAGGCTGCTCCCACACCATGGCGTGTACTTTCGTTCTCAATAAATCCCTGCTTTTGCTTTCCTTGCTTTGTTTGTGCGTTTTGTCCAATCCTTTGTTCGAGATGCCACCTGGACACCCTCTACTGGTAATGACTGCATAAGGAACACTGCAGGAGGACTGAGAACATCAAAGAGAACATGAGGCTGACCAAGAGGTGAGAGACGCGCAGAGAAGCTGCCAGATACAGAGCCCAGGCCAACAAAGACCCAAGAAACAAAGACTGGAGTTCCCAAAACAGAAAAGCAAAACTACGAAACAGACCTAATACTTAAAATCCTAGAAATGTTCTTAGGAAAAAAATAATCGACAAGTTGAAAGGCTCATCATGTACTTGAACAAACTGACCCAGAACGGTGGCCCTGAAGGCACTCCCCAGTAATGATTACAACTGAGAGAAAATTCTTTGGGACTCCAGGCAAAAAGACCAGCTTATTCACAAAGGGAAGAAAATCAGATGGGGATCGGACTTCCTGACTGCAATGTACAAGGTAAGTGAACAGTGGAGCAATTATTTTCATAAACTCAAGTAAAAATAAAGTGTGACCAAAGGATTTTATGTCAGCCAAACTGTCCTTCAAAATTAAAGCTCTAGAGAAATAGTTTTAAATAGCTAAGAACTCAATGAACACTGTGTTTCCAGGCCCAAACCCACTACAAAAGAATCTTCCTCAAGCCAAGAGACCACTGGGAAATTTGACATAAACAAAAATAACAAATCTGTTGAGCACAGACTAAAAGAGAAAGTGAGGGTAAGGATGGAGGTGGGCTGTGAAACAGCTTCTTATCGGGAAGCATGCTGTTCTGCAAAAGTAAAAATACAGCAAATAAATCAGAGGTAGATGAATCAGAAAAAAAGGAATGTAGAATAAGCTCATAGACTGAAGCATGAAAAATAGGTGGGAGAAAAGAATCCCACCAGACAAGCCAAAATAAAGAGGTCAGAGGAAGAAACAAGGGACTAAGGGTGCAATGAGAGGTGTTATTTATAACAGTAGCCAGCAGAACAAAACACAGACCTTCCTAAATGCCAAAAACAACAGAAAAAAAAAGCAAAGACACAAACCACATGTAAAAAATAAAAAGATGCACAATAAATAAAACACAACACACACATTAAATACAGGAGCAAGTTATGTGGCAGTTGGGACTGGACATACTGGTCCTAGCAACACATGAGTAAATGTAAATGGTTTTGGCCCTGTGAAAAATTTCCACTTGGCTCACAAAGCCAGCTCTGCTTTACACAAGAGACATGACAATTGCCAAGTGATTTGAAAAGGCTCAGTGTCAAGGAATGAGCAGAAGCACGTGAGGCCAGCGCACCAGGCTGAAGAGCAGGGATTGCAATCTCCCTGTGGGACAAGGTCCAGCCTCACCTCAAAGCAGGAAGCAAGACCAAGAAGGGCACTTCTTGATGCCGGAGGACCCAGTGCGCGGCGAAGCCATATGAGTTAAGAATCTGCTAGAACCCCAAACACGGAAGCTGGCTTTATAATGCAGAAACTATAGATGTTGGGGAAAGAAACAGAAACCTAAGAACAGCAATCATTAACACATGACTGTCAGCCATGGCAAGGTAAGGGGTCAAAAATAACTCAGCATGACAGAGAGCTAGTAACAGGAGGTAGGTCTTAGGGACATTACATCAAACTTTGTACTCCAATAATAGAGATTATACTTTCTTCTTAAACATACTTGAAACATTCGTTAAAAAAAAAAAACAAACAAAAAACTAGCTTGTATTAGGGCACAAAGAAAACCTCAGTAAGTTACATGAAATAGAAATGGCACAGACAGCAGACAGCAGTCTATGCTAACAATGCAAGACCAGAAAATAATGAACTTTAACCAAAGGCTATTTCCTTGGTAATTTATATCATTTTAGAAACACCTAAGGGGAACTGGTTCATGATGTATATCTATCAATATAGTTCTAGATATCTCCCTAACAAGTCCCTAAATTGGTAAGGAACCCCATGAGACCAGACATCGAGAGAGTGACATGACAGAACGACACATTCCTGCAGTGACCCGCCTCTTCCAACCTCACGCACACGCCCAGGGGAGCCTGAGAGCAGGCCCCTGATGGAGCTGGATACAAACGAGATGGAATCTCCACGTGGAAATGCTCTGCAGCTCCCTTTTCAGTGGGAAACACAGCTGTTTAGGAAGGCAAGGAGACAGAGGAGATGAAGGAGGCATGGGATCCCCTTCCTCACCTCTGGCCTGCTCTGGCTGTGAGACCCCGGGAGTAACAGCAGAGCAATGGCTTTAACATCTTGCTGAACATGCTGAACTGGCTGCCACAACAGATCAGCTTCAAAGGCAAGGACCCCAAGGGTGTCACATTCCCTCCTGGGCACAGTCCAGACAAAAGCAGTGCACTCAGCTGCAAACTACACACATGCATACACATGGCAAAGGCACACACTCACATACATGTGCAAACGGGTGCTTAAGCAGCTCACACACATGCATGCACATGGCAAAGGCACACACTCACACATGTGCACACGGGTGCTTAAGCAGTTCACACACATGCATACACACGGCAAAGGCACACACTCACACGTGTGCACACGGGTGCTTAAGCAGCTCACACACATGCATACACACAGCAAAGGCACACACTCACAAACGTGTACACGCGGGTGCTTAAGCAGCTCACACACACACATACACAGGTGAAGGCACACACTCACACGTGTGGACACAGGTGCTTAAGCAGCTCACATGCATACACATGGCAAAGGCACACACTTACACACATGTGCACACGGGTGCTTAAGCAGCTCACAGCATTAGCCAGGCTCTTAAGAAATGGTTTCAGCTTCACCAGAAGGTTTCAAACCTCAGACAATCACAAGGCAGCATGCTGTCTCTCTGTAACATTCTCCTCATGCCTCTCAGCATCAGGGAAACCGCTTCAGACAGGAAACCATGACTTGGTAAGAGATCATCTGGTGGCAGGTGCCCCTTGCTAACCAAGGCTGGTTAAGATGAACAAAAGGCATAAGAGAGCAGAACTGTCAGTGACCCCTCCGGAGGTGGACTCCTTGAGAATCCAGGTATGGTCCTTTTAGGGAGAACAGTTTAGAAGATATTCAAGCTGATACCTTAAATCTCTGGGGTACCCAGTAAAAAAGTCTAAGAATTCATAAAAGGAAGCTTCTGATGAATGCAAAATTTTGTTCAACCTTAAATAAAGCATATATATATGTAAACTATATATATAAATAAAGCATATATATAAACTTTATATACGTATATAAACTTCATATACGTATATAAAGTTATAACTTTATATACGTATATGAAGTTTATATATAACTTTATATATATGTATATAAACTCAGACCCAGTCTTCTTCTTATGAATCTGCCTGGAGAGGAAGAAAGAAGAACCATGGTTTCATATGTACCAGAGTTTGGACCCTAACGTTGCCACTTTTGTGGGCTAACACCCAGAACTATCTCCATTCTGTCACATCTAAGATGAGGAAGCCACGCTGCCCTTGTGGTGCGCGTGGAACCATGCCGCGGGGAGCACCATTGGCAGGGAGCACCAACACACAGTGCTCACAGAGGAGCGGGGAGACCAGCCTGCCTACCATCTCCATTACTTCTGCCACACAAAATCCTCCAGCCACGCTGAATTCTACCCTGGCAGGTGTCCTGCGGCTGCAACAATGCTGGAGGGAGGGTGGAGAATGTGACCCCAGGGCTCCCTCACCTTGCGCTGGGTGACATCTGGACCATGTGAAGGGCTCTGGAGGGCAGGGCAGCACCACCCACCCCTGCCACCCAATCATAAGAGTCCTTAGGTGCTGGGGCACCTCCCACCCAACGTGTCTATGCTCCATGCAGCAGTGTGCAAGACCTCCCTAAAGTGGGGCTCTCACCAAGACGGCAAAGCATTTCCTAATGCAGTGGGTCAATCGTCCGGCTCAAAGGGCAGCCTTGGAGCTGGACAGACCAGCCCAATGAAAAACAAGCACGGCCTTGTCCGCAACCAGACTGCTGGAGCTGGGGCCTGCAATTTTGGGTAGAAACACTGAGAAGAAAGACTGAAAGAAGGTCAAGGAGAGAGACGAGCATTAATGGAGGAAGAATGCTACAAGAAGGAGCAGTGAGGTCAGAGGTCACAGGCCCCAAATCGCCCAACTGGTGGGAGATGCCAACATACCTCTCTCCTTTACAGTTCACACAAGTATACCCCACAAAAGTAATAAAGATGCAGAATATATTAACAGCACAAACAACATGATAGTGCGTATGTGTGTCTGTGTGTATATAAAACCCTGTACCTGACAAGCAGAGGTAACACATTCTCCTAAGGCTCTCAGAGAACAAAACAAAAATTGATAACGTTTTAGTTCATATTGCAGGTTTCAACAAATGTTGAAAACATGGAGTCCACAGAACATATCTCCTACTCAGTAGGCAATTAAATATCATTAGCAAAAGATAACTTTACAATTCCCTTGGACAAAACACTTTTTAAATGTTTCCAGATAAGAAATAGATGAGATCAGAAAACAGACCTCAACAATAATAAAATTATTGCATGCCAAAATTTGTAGCAAACAGCTGCAACAGAACTCACAGTAAAGTTTATAGCTTTTAAAAGGAGTAAAGAAACACAAAATTAGTGAGTCACGAATCCCATTTAAAAAGTTAGAAAAAGAACAGAAAGTATCCACAGAAAGTGGAAAGGTAATAATAAAGAAAAGTTCAGAAGTTAAGCAAAGAAACAAAGGCAACTGAGAAGATCAGTAAATATAAAATTTGGTTCTTAAAGTCTAAATAATATACAACCCTCTGATGAGATTAATCAAGAAAAACAACTGCGAAGGCACAGGGGATAGTAGTCACGTAAAGGAAGCCATGCCTTCTGGTTCTGGACAGGATGGAATAGACACCTCTCTCCCTATTCTTCCTGCTGAGCACAGCCAACAACTCTGGACATTACATGTGGAACAAACAGAAGAGAACCCTGAAAGCTGGAGGGAAGAAGGGGGACTGGCTGGGCCCTTGGGATTTGGAGAATGACACAGCGGTGAGTTCGCTATTCTTTGGGTTTCTTATTTGTTTGTTCGTTTTGTTTGTGCTTCCTCCTCTATATTTCAGACAGGGCACTGGAAAAGCAACTGAAAAATGCCAAAGGATACACACTGGAAAAAAACAGTCTCAAGAAAATTCTCTCTAGGGAAAGGGATGGGAAAGGAGGAACCTATTAGGTCAGAAAGCATCTGAGAATACCTGCCCTGCTCCATGCACAGGACAGGACGCACACAGCACCCTGCCCGGTCAGAGGGGCTGAGCTGAGAGCCTCGGCTTCCACTCCCACCCAGCAGTACCAAGCACCCTTCTCCCCACCGGTGGTGTCCCCAGGATCCAGGGAGGAGCCTGGATCTCCACCCTAGCTTGCTGGTAACAAGACATCCCTTCCCCATGGTGTCAACAGAGGCCGAAACAGAAGATTGATGTAAGATTCAGACTATCATAACATAATAACCTATACTTCCAGGACACAAACAAAAATTATGTGTCGTGCCAAACATTAGGCATACCTCAACATGAAAGAGAAAAGAAAATCAACAGAGGCCAACACTGAGATAACAGAGATGCTAGAATTCCCTTACCAGGATTTTAAAGCAGCTTCACTGAGCTTTCTATAGACAGGCTCAAACCAAGTTTCCAAAAAAGCCTGAACAAATAAGTAGGCGATATGGAGAACGAACAAACAAACAAACAAACAAAATAAAAAATGAAACAGACAATCTCAATATCCCTACAACAATTAAAGCAATTGAATTTATGATTTCTCACACCAAGTGGGAATCTAGGTGAATATCCTGAGAGCAAATGGAGAAACTCCAAATCGTACTTGTAGTCTCCAAGTTCCAGGAAAGCAACAAGAAAACACAACACAACACAACAAAAAAGAACTATTAAGGAGTTCACTGGAAATTTAAGCCATACTGAAGGGCCTAAGTCCTCAAGTATCTCAGAAATACACAATGAAGATTCACTTCTGCACAGAGAATCGCCTGGAAGAAAACTGCCCAAAGCAAAACACAAATTCAGCTAGCCTGGAACACGAGGTATTTTTGTATTGAAAGTGCTAGAGAAAGAGAGATCCAGAGGAGGTGAGCCCCAGCACATACTGGTGACAAAGGGCAGTGATTGAAGGCAACAAACAGCTCAGCGTGGAGAGTGAGAGGCTGTGCGTCTCTAGACAACAGAGTCAGGGAAGGGAGCCCTCCTGAGTTGGAAGTGATTTCTAGAGACAGAAGTGTCCACACACACAGGCCTCAAACATATTTCACCGTAATAACAGAGAGACCTCTTGGTTGCTGAGGCTAGGAATGCTACTTTGGCTCATTCCCAATTCCTCTACAGAAAACTTTCTCCTAATAGTCCAGGAAGACTCTTATTTAAAAATGGGACACAAAGAATTATGATCAAATCCCGTATGAGAACACTACCAAAAAGAAGTAAAAGTATGATAAATAACACACTAGCAGATAATGAAAATATACCAAAAAACTATGGACACAAAGAAAACGAAACTCATAGCGTAATATGTGAAACTGAACTAAAAATTGAGAAAATAACCATCATTTTAGAAGAACATAATTTAAAATAGTATTAGAACATCTCAGAAGTGGAATGGCAAGAAAACAGGAAGACATTTTACTATTGACAGAACTCACGAACCAACTAGATTTTTTTTTTCAGAAATGAAAAGTAGAAGAAATGTAAGAGTAAGGAGACATCACAGAAGGCACAGGAATAAAACAGAAAGAAGAGAATGAAAATAATTAAACAGAAAGAGAGGTAAAAAAGGTTCAGGAGAACATGACAGACAAAAAGACAGGCAAAAGAGATCCAACATACATACAACCGCGATTCCTGCTGCATCTTCCAAGAGCGTGGGGAGACACACAGTCCTGCGTTAATGACGAGAATACGTTCTGAGAAATGCACTTTTAGGTGATTTCATCACTGTGCAAATATCGTAGAATATACTTACCCAAACCTAGGTGAGAGAGCTGACACACCCAGGCTAGATGGTATAGCCTATTGCTCCTAGGCTACAAAGCGGTACACAACACATGACTGTACTGAATACTGTAGGCAACTGTGACACAGTTCTATGTATTTGTGTATCTAAACATACCTAAACAACATAGAAAAGGTACAGTGAAATATGGTATAAGAGATTTTAAAAGGCCGGGTGCAGTGGCTCACATCTGTAATCCCAGCACTTTGGAAAGCTGAGGCAGGAGGATCAGCTGAGCCTAGGAGTTTGAGACCAGCCTAGGGAATGTAGGGAGACCTCAGCGCTACAAAAAAATTTAAAATTAGCCAGGCATGGTGGCACATGCCAGCTATTCAGGAAGCTAAGGTGGGAAGACCACTTGAGCTCAGGAGGTCAAGGCTGCAGTGAGCCGATAATAAAATGGCACACCTGTCTAGGGCACTTATTATGAATGGAGCTCACAGGACTGGAAGTTGCTCTGGTGAGTCCATGAGTGAGTGGTGAGTAAATATGAAGGCTTGGGACAGGATGACTACTGTAGACTTTAGAGATACTGTACACTTAAGTTATCCTAATTTTATGAAAATATTTTTCTTTCTTCAATAAATTAAATTAGTTTACTGTAACTTTTTTTTTTTTTTTTTTTTGAGACAGGGTCCCGCTCTGTCACCCAGGCTGGAGTGCAGTGGCGCAATCTCAGCTCACTGCGAGCTCCGCCTCCCGGGTTCACACCATTCTCCTGCCTCAGCCTCCTGAGTAGCTGGGACTACAGGCGCCCGCCACCATGCCTGGCTAATTTTTTAAAATTTTTTTTTAGTAGAGACAGGGTTTCACCATGTTAGCCACGATGGTCTTGATCTCCTGACCTTGTGATCTGCCCACCTCGGCCTCCCAAAGTGCTGGGATTACAGGAGTGAGCCACCGTGCCCAGCCTACTGTAACATTTTTACTCTATAAACTTTTAAATTTTTTTATAGTACTTAGCTTAAAACACACACACACAAATTGTACAGCACCACAAAATATTTTCTTTATATCTTTATTTTATAAGCTTCTTTCTATTCTTAAAATTGTTATACTTTTATTTTTAAACTTTTGGTTGAAAACTAAGACACAGGGGTAGGCGTGGTGGCTCATGTCTGTAATCCCAGCACTTTGGGAGGCCGAGGCAGGTGGATCACTTGAGGTCAGGAGTTTGAGACCAGGCTGACCAACATGGTGAAACCCCGTCTCTACTGAAAGTACAAAAATTAGCCAGGTGTGGTGGCGGGCGCCTGCAATCCCAGCTACTCGGGAGGCTGAGGCAGGAGAACTGCTTGAACCTGGGAAGCGGAGGCTGCAGTGAGCCGAGTTCGTACCACTGCCCTCCAGCCTGGGCAACAAAGTGAGAGAGACTCCATCTCAAAAACAACAACAACAACACTAAGACATAAACACACACATTAGCGTAGGCCTATACACAGTCAGAATCACCATGGCGTAAAGCAACATATTTAAGATACTAAAGAGAAAAATGTGAACCAAGGATTTTATGAAGCCAAATTACCTTTCTCCTGTGAAGGCTACAGATAAAAAGATATGACTCCACAAGAACACAGGAAATATTTTTCTGATGAGCCCATCCTGAAGAACATAATATAAAATGGGGTTGGGCCAACCACGAAATAATTGGAGAAGCTTTGTCATAAGGTATGGTGGTAAGTGTCAAACACATTTAACTACTGAACTAGGACTAAATGATGGAGTTAAGGGTGACAGGATAATATGTAACCATTAAATGTGCTTAAAATAAAGTTAATACACTAATGAAATGGGAGGAAGAGGTGGGAGAACAAACAAAAATTAGGAGTGGGAGAGGAGGAAGAAGAGACTTCTGGCTAATTTTAATACTGCTTATAACAGTAAGTCAATAGAAATTATGTAAAAAGAGGGGTTTATGTGAATTATATAGAGAGTGATAATATAAAGCCAAGAAAAAAAATACAAACCTTCCTAAAAGTGAAAAGAAATATGAACATGGAGGAAAAGTTTACTAAGTTGAAGAATTCATGTATGCACACATTTGTTCATGTTTTCGAAAAGAAAAAATGGAAAGATTAAAAAACTTAAAAGCTACTTACAGGAGAAGGAAGGGAACTGAATGGAGAGAAAGGGAGGAAAGTGAGACTTTTGTGAATAGCCCTTGCAATAATTTTGACTTTAGAATCATGTAAATGTTTGTATTTTACATAATCAAATGCAGGAATTTCAGTTGAAGCTATAACCACAGAGAGAAGGACTGTAGGCACTGACCTTAAAACACAGGAATCTGACTGCATATCCTCAAGGGAATATATTATACAGACAGAAAAAAGTGCAAAGAAATATATTGCTCTAAATTTAGTCATTAATCATAATATTGGTATTATTCTCCAAACCTGTTATATATTTACTTAGGCTAAAACAAATAAGTAATCATGGTAATGATGAGAGAAAAGAAAAACTAGTATAAGTTTTAAATTTTTAAGTTAAAATAATGTAATCTTAAATATGATTTAAAAATATTTATCTTAATTTTCTCTTCTTTTAAAATTACAAACATTTCTTATTTCTGTTCACTAAATTATAAAAAATCAATGACAACCCAATTGCAATAAGCACTCCTAATACTCACGCTGTGGTCTCTAAATACTACTTCCCAAATAGTATTATTATTATTATTATTAGAACAAAAACAGGTCTCCCAAAAGAGTTTGATTCCAGGTGGTCTGTGGAAGAAAATATAAAAGGTAAGGTGGGAACACATACGACAGAAGGCAATAAAGCCATCCAAGACTGATGTGGTTACATCAGAAAGCGAGGGGAGCCCAAAAACTACAGAACAGTTTGAGTAAAGAAATGGCAGCTGCACTGGCCAAACTCCACTGTGTGTATAACATCCACCAGTTAACAATGATGCTTCACAGGGAGAGAAAAGCAGGGAAAGACACAAATTCACAGGACAACACTGGGGCTTCCAGAAACCAACTCATCGCAGTGAGAACAACTGAGTGCAAAGAATGAAGCATCTATCCTGCCTTTCTGGCATGAACCATAGTTTAGGTAACCAAACAGCCCTAGTGGATGAGGCAAACGTTATTCCACATAGATGAATCCCAACTAATAAGTACAGAAAGAACAACACAATTAGAAAATCACCGTTCTGCAGCCCCTAATGTGTACTGCATCCAGGCAATGACCATCAATGAATATTGACAGCAAGCTGCAAGGCTGGTGGGGAACCCAGCAGTGGCGGATCAGGCTGACCCCCTAAGCTCAATCCTCAGTCTCAGCACCAGTGAAGGAGCGGCCAGACCACACGCCTCATCATGCCATGCGGTGCAACGTGCAGTGCCACCTAGGAAGCTCGCTCGCCTCACAGGAAAAATAAATCTGAGTGGAATCGCACCTCAGACCTACCAGGGCAAATATGGGGTTGCAGGTGGGCTCTGCACCATGCCAGAGGAGGCAGCCAGCCAAATCCAGAACGCAGGCATTCCACACAGCCGCTACCCCCAAGAGGCAGACAACCCAGGGCTACAGGTAGGCCTTCGACATGAAACCGCCCGCAGGAGAATTTCCACAGGCACGTAGCCATGCCCTATAACCTGAAGCTAGGGCGCCGTGGCCTGTTCTCACAGCGCCATCCCTAGGCTCCAAGAGCCAGCATCCTGGGAGCTCTGCAGCGCTGTGCTGCTGCCTGTGGCTTGCACACAGATGTCACATAACATCATTTCCGCTGGAGGCACATGCCTGCCCAGATTAAAGGGAGGGTCACGATCCCCTCCCTGGCGGGAGGTGCATCAAAGTCACAGCACAAGAGCATGTGGAACGGGAGATACAGACCACAGTGAAACGTTATTTACATTCACTGCATTGGCAAACATTCAGAATGTTGGTGGACTGTAGATCATCCGTGGCGCTAACACGCTGCTGGGGGATGGGAATTGGTACCCGCGCTTTGAAACAAAAACTGACATGGTCCTGAAAGTTCCTGAAAGTTCACCTTTCACAGACTTTATGATGCAGCAATTCCACTTCCTTAAACCAAAAACACCTCATGTGTGCACCAAAAGAAACACACAGGAATGTCCACGGAAGCATCACTCACAATGGCAAGCGAGCCGCATGACCCTGCTGGAAAAACAAATAAATGATGCCTATTCACACACTGGAACACTATGCAGCCAGGCACACAAACTGCAGCTCTGCCCAGAAACACATACCAACCTAAGACACCTTGTGTGTGACTAAACAGAACAGGTTTGGGAAGTCTATGTAGGGACTGATGTCACTTTCTAAGAGTTCAGAAACAAGCAATCATGTGTAATAAAATAAAATTATTTTAAAGAGAAGAGATGAGAAAACAAAATGCAGGATCACGGTAAAGAAGAGGAAGCACCCACGGCAGCATGGGTCATCTCGCTTAGCCTGGTCCTGGGGTCACGGCTGTTCATGAGAAAGCTATGCTCCGCAGCTCACGTTACGTACGTGTCATATGCTAATTCTCATGTCACAACATTTTAACGAATATACTGGGAAGTGCAGCCAAGTACTGCAAGCAGAGGAGCCGGCACACGTGATCCCAGACCAGGCAGCACTTACAAAGGATGGCAGGAAGGCCAAGACGTTGTCACGGAGATGAGGCCCAGCAGGGCAGGAAGGCATGACCAGCAGGCCTGGCTACAGGCAGCAAGCACCAAACCCCATTCCAGATGCCAGGAAAGGCACACACAGGCCTGGCGCAGGTGGGCTGTCTTCTGGCCGCTCCCTGGGTGGACTGGTCTTGGAGACTGGACGGTAAGGACTGGGGAGAGTCAGGGTCCACTTTGGAGGCAGAATTGGGAGGGTTTGAATCAGATGAGTAAGGAGGTACCAGGAAGGGGTCCAAGGTTCCTTCTGTTTGTATCCCCCACAGGTCTGCTGACATCGGCCCCCAGAGAGGGGCAACCCACGGCCAGGAAAGCAGACCAGGCAGCCCCTCTGTAAGGCTGAAGGAGGAGCTACTGTGGGTGGCCTGGACTCCTTGTCATCTCGGGCCCCACGTTGCCCCTCTGGTGATCAAGGACTCACAAACTTCTTGCTCATATTCTGAAAGATGGGCAGCTTTTTGTTTGGTGAGGTTACCATGCCTGCGGCCACAGCTTCCCCTGTGGAACTGAGATCCAGACCCCGCCAGGCCTGGGGCCTGTTCCCCTGGGGCTGCCGTGACACTGGCTTTCTGCGCTCTCCTCTCCCCAGGGCATAAGGCCCAGACCTCCTGCGGGTCAAGCTCAAGACCCTGGGCCCAGGGTCTGCCTGTCCCTGGCCCAAGCTGGCAGGTGTGGCCTGGATGAAAATGGCTCAGGAGAAGCTGATCTGCTATGCAGCCTAGTCTGCCAGAGCCAGGGTCCAGGCCCATGGGCAGCTCACAGGGATGTGGGGCCACGCCCAGGCTCTGTCTTCCTCACGCAGGGGCCATGTGGCAGGACAGGCCCAGCACACCATGTGAGTGCCCAGAATGCTGAGGCATATTAGGTTTGAACCCTGGAACTGTGTTTCTGCCTCTCTGACCTCTCAGATGCACAGGGACTTGCAGAGGGGCTCCTTAAGGTGCTCCAGGTCAGTGCCGGCTGCGGCCAGGAGCTGACGGCCGGCAGGGAGGTGTAGAGACCCGGGGCCAGTGTTAAAGGTGCTACGGCCACTTGGCTTTGCTGTGACCCCCGTGCACAGGAGCACCAGACTCCTCTCTGCCAACAGGCCACAGAGCAGCTCCGGTGCTGCTAAGCCTCCGGAGTGGGGCGAGTCTTGTGCAGGAGGCTCCCAGGCAGGTCCCGGGGCATGAAGTTTAAACAGGCCCCACCCACACTCCTGGGAGCCTGTGTAGGCCCCGCCCCCGGGGCCCAGGGCAGACGTGGGCTATTCTCTGTCTTGGCTCCCCTCATCTGGCTCTCACCTCAGGAAAAGATGTACCTAACTCCTATGATTCCTACATCCTCATAAATGAACCCACAGGAACCTGTGGCTCTGTGAGTGGGGAGCAGCCCCCGTGTCAGCAGAGGCTGCTGCGGCGTTCGCGAACCGGCCTCCCAAGCTGCCCGCGTCATTCAGTGGCGCTGCCCACCCCGAGCACGGGTGGACACCGCGCAGAGTGACATTTCCAGCAGCGCTTTGAGGGACTCACGGTGCCTCCCCATTCCTGCTGCCGCAGGCCTCCCGAGCTGGGTTGTGCACTCAGCGCTCAGAAGTGGGCATTCCTGGGCTCTGCCGAAAAGCGTGCCAGGTGAACTCGGAACTCACCTGCTGCTCTCCTCTAGAGGCAGCTCCGAAGTCTGCTTTGTCCTTTTAAAAACCTTTCATACCACCTCCCTCGTGGGCCCCCTCTGAGAGACGCCTCTGATTTTTCAGTGGTGCTTCCTTTGGAGTCTATTGGCCTACTTCCATCTGCACGCCATCTCACAGGTGCTGCTGCCTCTGAGGCGCTGGGCTGCACCCTCACAGTGCAGCACTCGTGGACGTGGTGGCCTGGGGAGAGCAGGGCTGTGGCCGTCTTCTGTTGTGAGGCCAGCACGAGGACCTCTTTGGCGGGCACGGGGACAAGCTATGCTGGGCAGTGGCGAGGAGGCAGCTGGCCCCTCCCAAAGCACAAGCTGCATGGGGACGCCACCCCTAGACAGTCACAGCACATGCTGTGCCTTGGAAATGGACATCCTAGCTAATCACAAATTTCGGTCAGCCTCTAGGAAAGCATTTAGTCATTCATTCACAACTTCCAGTCCCTGCTCTAACACGCGCCCTGGTCGGAGGGCGCTCTGACGGCTGGTGACAGGACACGACACTGCCAGGAAAAGAAGCTGCCAGCCGGGCTCCAGGCACTGTGCGGCATCTTCCTGAGAGGCCTGCTTGGCCTGGCCTTGCTTGGAGTCTGGGCCCTTGACAACTTCCACGTAGACCCAGACTCCTGGGCCCCGTGGACTCGTGAATCGGTGGCAGTCTCAGCCTGTGGGGGTGCTGGCCAGCCCAGCTCCTCCCTTCCCTACCCAGGACATGTCCTGGCTCAGCCCCCAGCCTTCCCTGTGCTTGGCTTTCCTTCTGGTGACCAGATAACATCCACGCCATCCTCAGAGGTGGTGACAAGCACAGGTGAGTCAATCGCCAACATGGTCCAAATTTGTTTCCAACATTTAAAAAAACAGAAGATTTCATATTCAAATATGATTTTATGACTTTAAAAGGGAGTCAGGTGTTCCCTGAGCTCCTGCCCAGGCAGGCAGGACTGCAAGCTCCTCCCAGCAAGGTGGTCCCTCCGTGACCCTGCCCTGCATGGGGCCACAGCAGCCACCTGTGGTCTGCCCAGAAACAGACAATCCTTCCAGAGCTCTTAGCCCCTTAGGCCTGGCCTCTGCCACTGGCACTGGCCACTCACATTCATGGGCGCATACACTAGGCCTGGGCACCATCCAGTCGTGCTCAGGGGGGTGGCCCGTGTCTGGAATCCTGGTGAAGCAGAAACACCCTCTGTCCTGAGAAGCCCTTCTCCCCTCCTCCACCCACTCTCCTGACATGGGCAGCACCTCGGCAGTTGGCTGGAACCAGACAGTCTTTGTGAATAAGCTGCCAGGGGCCAACGTGGGAAAGTTCTGAGCCTGGCATGCACAAGTAGCATGCTGGATTTTTTAGGTTCTAAGGTTGTGCTGTTGTGAGGCCTGGGAAGCAACCCTCAGCTTGGCATTGCCTTCTTTACAGAGATGCCTGGGGGGCCACAGGCTTTCTCTCAGCTTTCCATCTGATGGCATTAAGTAACCCGCAAGCAAAGTCCAAAACTGTGAACATAAAAATGCTACATATTGATGAATGAAAGCCCTACTGCCCCACAGTTACTATGTAACATAGTTATTTAATAACCGCGAGGTGGGGGTATCTCCTGCCTGCCCATGGCCTGAGGCCGTGTCTCCGTCTGCTGGATGGGGGTGCCCACTCCTTCCCTTGGGTGTGCCCACAGCTGCCCACAGAGAGCCTCGCTGGCTGCTGATATGGTTTGGCTGTGTCTCCACCCAAATCTCATCTTGAATTGTAATTCCCACAATCCCCACGTGTTGAGGGACCTGGCGGGAGGTGATTGGATCATGGGGGCAGTTTCCACCATACCGTTCTCATGATAGCGAGTTCTCACGAGATCTGATGGTTTTGTCTGGCAAGTTCCTCCTTCGCCCACACTTCTCTCTCCTGCCGCCTTGTGAAGAAGGTGCTTGCTTCCCCTTTGGCTTCTGTCATGATTCTAAGTTTCCTGAGGCCTCCCCAGCCATGTGGAACTATGAGTCAATTAAACCTCTTTCCTTTATAAATTACCCAATCTTGGGTATGTCTTTATAGCAGTGTGAAAACGAACTAATACAGCTGCATTTGTTAAGCTCCATCTGCCAAATTTGTTTCTTCTCTTGCTCCCAGGAGTGCTCAATGTCAGGAGGAAGCCACGACTCACTCACTGGAGAACACGAGGTCAGCACGGGGCCACGGGGGTGGGACTTATTGTCAACATGATGTAGGTGTGGGGTCCCGGGGTGGCTGCACAGCTGAGAATGGTCAATTTCCCAAAGCTGAAGTTCTGACACTCAGAGGCGTTTGGCAGAGTGACTACATCTTGAGTAAGGGCTGGGTAAAATAAGGCTGAGACCTGTTGGGCTGCATTCCCAGATGGTTAAGCATTCTAAGTCTTGGGATGAGATAGGAGGTCAGCACAAGATACAGGGTCATAAAGACCCTGCTGATAAAACAGGTTGCAGTAAAAAAGTTGGCCAAACCCCACCAAAACTAAGATGGAGATGAGCGTGACCTCTGGTCGTCCTCACTGCTACACTCTCACCAGCACCATAACAGTTTACAAATGCCATGGCAACATCAGGAAGTTACCGTATGGTGTAAAATCCCCTCAGCTCCAGGAATTGCGCATGCCTTTCCCAGAACACTCATGAATAATCCCCCCTTTGTTTAGTATACAATCAAGAACCATAAAAATGGGCACCAGCAGCCCTCGGGGCTGCTCTGCGTATGAAGTAGCCATTCTTTATCCCTTTACCTTCTTAATCTACTTGCTTTGGCTGGCTGCGGTGGCTCACACCTGTAATTCCAGCACTTTGGGAGGCCGAGGTGGTAGGATCACATGAGGTCAGGAATTCGAGACCATCCTGGCCAACATTATGAAATCCTGTCTCTACTAAAAATACAAAAATTAGCCAGGCATCCTGGCACATGCCTGTAATCCCAGCTACTCAGGAGGCTGAGGCAGGAGAATCACTTGAACCCGGGAGGTGGAAGTTGCAGTGAGCCACATTTGCGCCACTGCACTCCAGCCTGGGCGACAGAGCGAAACTCTGTCTAAAATAAACAAACTAACTAACTAACTTGCTTTCACTTTATGGACTTGCCCTGAATTCTTTCTTGTGTGAGATTCAAGACCCCTCTCTCGGAGTCTGGATCGGGACCCCCTTCCAGTAACATGACCAGTGCAGTGCTTTCCAGTGTATGGAATACAGCACAATTCAGGTTGAAAAGCTATGAAATTCTTTAGAAAATCCTGCTGAGAACCAAACTTTCAACAACAGACCTCACCATCTATATGCACATCAAATTTTCATGTTTTCTTCCATTAATTCCCTAAGTTGTTTATCAGTTTTGATTTTTTTTTTTTTTTTTTTTTTGAGACAGCATCTAACTCTGTTGCCCTGGCTGGACAGCAGTGGCGTGATCTTGGCTCACTCCAACCTGCACCTCCTGGGCTCAAGCGATCCTCCCACCTCAGCCTGCTAGGTAGTCTGGATTACAGGCGCATGCCACACACCCAGCTAATTTTTATATTTTTTTGTAGAGACAGCCGGCGCCGCCCCGAGGAGTGAGCGGAGGATCTGCCTGGAGCTAGCCAGCCTCATGGCCTGGACAGACACCTCAGTGAGCCTGTGATCAGGGCCCTCGGAGCAGAGCCAGCTGCAGGGAGGCAAGTCAGGAGGCCTTTCCTTGAGGCCAGGAGAGAAGAACAAGCCAGCAGGAGGGCAGGACAGACTCCAGAGACACTCGTTGAGAAAACTGGCTTCAGCTCCAGAGTGGGGGGCAGAGGGGCTGCTCCGCCTGGGCAGCGTGGGGACTGCTGCCGGCCGGGAAGCTGCCAAGAGCCCGGGAGAGGAGGGCAGAGGGCACAGCACTCCTTCTTCATAGACAGCAGGGACAAAGGTGGAGGGTGACTACGTCACTCTCGATTCCCCGCCTTTCTGGGAAGGCCTCATCATGAAACATTTTCGGCATCATAATACTGGCTTATAAATGTTCGTATACCCAATTCCCAAACCATTGATTAATTTATTAAAGCTATGATTTACGTAAGGATGAGCATTTAATTAGAGAAGAGCTTCTACCATTTCACCAACCCAGGCAGTGGGGAAGGGGTGGAAAGGGGCGGCTGCTGTCCCAGGGGCAGTCCTTGGTGTCCTCCTGGTCCAGGCTTTCTTCCCTCCCTTCACTGGCCTCCAGAGCCAGGTGCTGCGCTGCCTGCACTAGAAGCCCTGCCCTAGGCTGTGCTGAGCATGCGCACACACCCCCCACAGCAGGGCTCCCGCGTCAGTGGCCTCACTCCACCCTGCTCTCCCAGCGAGCCTGCTGTCCATAGTCTGGCAGGTCTCCTCTTCACGTTCAGTGACACAACTGCTCGGCGCATTATAGAGGCCTCTGAAAGGCTATGTGTTCACGATCCTCCCATGGAGGGGCTCAGAGGAGCGGCCTAAGAGGAGATGCCTGCACTGTGCAGGAAAGAGGGGCTCCCTGCAGAGCCAGTGCCGTTGGTGGGGCTCAGGCTCCCAGGGTAGGGGCAGGAGTGGTCTCCACAGTGCACATTTGCACGTATGTTAGGACGAGGCTATGGGGCACAGAGGGGCCATTTGCCCTGCCTGGAGACTGGTCTAGGGTTGCAGGGCCCACATGTACTGCATGCCCCCAAAAGGGTCAGGGGAAGGCTTCCTCCATCCCCTTGGGGCCACAGCCTCCTACTTGCCTAGGGAAACATGGCTCTTGGAGGCCCAGGGAGGCCACTACCCTGCTGAGCAGGCAGGCCCCAAACTAAGGTGGAGACCACAGCGATCGCAGCAGGGCAGCAGAAGCTGGTCTCAGGCTGGTGGGTGAAAGCTGAGGTTACTGGCAGTTGCCATGGCATGGTGAGATTGCCAGGATGAGGGCCCACTTGAAGAACATGCCTGCACTGCCCTAGAGCTGCATCTTCCTGGCAGCAGAATGTCAGGGGAACCAGGCCTCCCCGCTTCAAGTGGGACAAATGTATGAGCCTGGGGGGCAGGTGGGGAGGGCCCTGCAGGGTGCCTGGGCAGCCTGTGGAGGAACAGCGGGGATTCCCTTCGCACCGGGTGTAGCCAGCTGCACGGCATTAACAGCCACTTGTCCTTCAGAACTTTGCTCTTCAGGTGGGGTCTGGGGTGAGGAAACCCAGTAACCCAGGATTTGCACAAGGAAAGTAGCTTCCTGTGGCTTGGCTTCTTACGAGTGTCTAAAAGAACCGTCCTGGTACCGCTAGGCCACAAAATGTTCAGAAAACACTGCAAGAGACACTGGGACACTCTAAAGCCAGGCCCAGAGAAGGAATGCCGAGGAGAGAGAGGAGGAATGCCAAAGAGAGGCCCAGCGGGAAGGGGTTCTGCCCAGCACCCTCTGCCTGGTCCCGGGCTCCCTGTGCAGGGAGCTATGCCAGTGTGCTGAGGGTGTTCGATGAGGACAGCAGCTCACAATTGCAGAAGCCACGGACTCCTGGAGAAATGGACCACGCACCTTCTCCCCAGCAAAGTGTCCTCTCTCCAAAGAGCTTTGAATCTCAGAGAATCTGAAGGCCCCCACCACGTGGGGCCCATCCAGAGCCCTGGCCCAGAGCAGCAGAGGACAGGCTTATACCCCTGCTCTGGAGTTGTGAAACCGTGGCACCCTGGAGTTGTGAAATGCCATCTCAAACTCGGCCAATGGCCCTTCCATCCCTGTCCCAGCTCCTACACTAGCTCTTTCCATTATAAGGAGGCCGGGAAGTAATCCAGCTTCACCTGGTAAGTTCGACCTGTGAAATGTGGGAAGACACAAGTCAGACACAACACCTTCTGTCCACACCGCTGGCACAAGGCTTCCAGTTGGGCAGAGCTGCTAGGGGGCACGGGGACAGAGGTGGAGCTCCTCCATCCAGCCCCCAAAGGAGCCTGGGCATGACCGTGGGTACTCAGAGCAGGCTGCCTCCTGAGGGACCAGAAGTCAAGCGTGCGACGGGCTGCGGGGCGGAGAGGCCACTCTGCCTCCAGGGACACACACTCTCCCAGGCCCACTTCCCTGTGGCCAAGGAGGAAAGCCGAGCAGGCACCTTTGAGTTGCACACAACGGACACACAGCACAGAGCCCACCCAGCCTGAGTATTTACCATCCGCCTTTCATGGAAATGCCGGCACCTGCTCCAGAGGATACAGGAATGACAGGGATGGAGGACGGGAGGGACTCCCAGCCTGCGGGGAGGCTCCTGCATGTGCCCAGCAGACTTTCAGCAGGGCTGGGCTGCAGGAGTGCCCAGCATTTCCCATTTCAGCTCCACTGGAAAGTGCGGCTGGTTCAAGTTGTTGCGAACTGATCCCACCCATGTATACTGGGGTGGGAGGGCAGTGGGCAGCTTCTCGGCTCAGGTTTCCAGAGCACGAGGGGGCAGATCCAGAGCGAGAGTAACTCACCGTATTAAGAGTCTGGGCATTAAGCCTGGTGCCATGAAGGGACCAGACTTTGGGGCCATCTTCCTTGGGTAGGGTTTATTTTGCATGGGGAAAGCTGGGAAGCAAATATTTGTGACCAGAAGGGCAAATGATGGTGACTGAATTACTGCTCATGCATATTCACTGCCTGTCCCTGGGAGAGGCCTACACTTCCCACCCCCTGAAGTCTTGGCCAGTTGGCGTCTCTTGTGGGAAGAATAACTCCCGTCCTGCGGGTGGTTGTCTGTGCTCTCACTGCTCTGCTCCAACACCAACGACACTCCAGATGGGGACTGCACTAGTTGCTTGGGAAGGGGTTGAAGACAAGAGCCACAGCTGACACAGGTGAACAGGAAATAAACTTGTCTATGTATCAGCCACTGGCATCTGAGGACCTTTCATTACTACAGCCTCCCCAAGCCCCTCAGAGCTGCTCTGCCTCCTTCCCAGACAGCAGCACCAGCAGCACAAAGTCTCAGCCCACTTTCCTGGCCAGGTTAGTTCCAAATTTTCTTTCTCCTGTTGGTATGAATCTGGCAACTCCTCCATCTCTTTCATTTTAAACTTTCTGGGTCTTTTAATTGAGGTCTCATGAAGAGTGAGTCCTTGGACTTCCCTGGGACCCTGAGTTCTGCTTATTAACAGCTTGGCTGAGATGTAACTGATGTACATAAAACTGCATACATCACAGTGTACAATGTGAATTTCTAAATTCTGGTGGCTGTACTTTCAGTTCTGAAACCTCGACTTGGTTGGCCCTCCGTCTTCGCTTGGCTGAGACTTTCCACTTCCTCACTGTGTAGAGCTGGTGACGGCTCACTGAAGCATCTTTATGATGTCTTTTTTAAAAGCCCTGTTGGGTAACTTCGGTGCCCATGTCATCTGGGTGTTGGTGTTGGTGTCTGTCGATTGCCTTTTGTCAGCTGAACTGGAGTCTTCCTGGTTCTTGGCGTGTGTGAGGACCTGCAGTTGAAACCTGGCCATGTGATGTGACGTGATGATCATGTCCAGATCTTCTTTTATCTCATTTTCACCGGCCTCCTCCGACACCATCGCAGCGGGGGCAGAGGTGTGCTGCCTCATTGCCGCCAGGTTAGAAGAGGCATCTAGGTTCCGCCCCTGGCCTCAGCTGATGCCCAGATGGGAAGGGCTCCTTGTCCCTCAGCTGATGCCCAAATGGGAAGGAGATCCTGAGCAGGTAGGGAGCTCCAGTCCCCGTGTGGTCCCCAGGGACGCGGGAGTGGGGAGCGCTCTTGAGAGCCTGGCTCAGCTGGGAGTACATGTCCCCATCAGCCTCCCTGATGCTCCCTGGCTCAGCTGGGAGTACGTGTCCCTGTCAGCCTCCTTGATGCCCCCATGGTGTGGACTGGAGCACCTTGACACGGGTGGGTACAAGCAGAAGCCTCAACTCTCCACTTGGCCTTTCCTGACTCGGGGGAGGCTGTGGCCACAGTTTTGGGGAGGTCTGGCCAAGGCAGAGCACGTTTTGTTCTGTCCGGCTAGGCTGCCCCTTTCCTCCTCCTCTGGTTAGAGAGAACAGAGTTTGTTAGAATTTTATTTTCTTGTTTGCTTTTTGCCTGTACCCACTGGCGTTTCCAGTTTTCTGACTTGTCCAGTGCCCCATCTGGAACAAATGACCCAGGGAACTCACCACCATGTCGTCCCATGGGTCCTGAGGTATGTGGCTGGCTGGCCTTCTTCTTCCCACCTTTCAGAATCTTTTATGCATGTTTTATATAAAATACCCAGCACCTTTGTCATGCCTGGTGGGGAGGACAGGGAAGGCACCCTGACTCCATCCTCCTAAAAGCTGAAGGCCACGCATCTGCTTCACGTCACCACAGAGTACTTCACACACCTAGAATTTTGCATGCGTGAAATCAGAGTTTAGACTCATTCATGTCAAGCTTCTTTCACTGAGTGTAGTTATCCTCACATTCACCTGCGTTATGTGGATCAGAGCAGCTCTTGTGCCTGTCTTTTAACAGGAAAGTTGAACCGTTCAAATGCATTGAGGTAACATGACACCTGGACTTGTCTCATTCTCACTGCTTTATTTAATTTAATTTTTTTTTTTTTTTGAGACAGAGTTTCACTCTTGTTGCCCAGGCTGGAGTGCAATGCCGCAATCTCGGCTCACCACAACCTCCACCTCCCGGGTTCCAGCAGTTCTCCTGCCTCAGCCTCCCGAGTAGCTGGGATTACAGGCATGTGCCACCACGCCTGGCTAATTTTGTATTTTTAGTAGAGACAGGGTTTCTCCATGTTGGCCATGCTGGTCTCAAACTCCCAACCTTGCCTTGGCCTCCCAAAATGCTGGGATTACAGGCGTGAGCCACTGCACCCCGCCCTCACTGCTTTTTTCTTTCCTCTTTAGTTATATATTTTTTTCTTTCATAGGTAGTAACTTGGAAGTAAATGTATTTTAATACTAATAGTTAAAATAAGGAAAAAGTCATTTGGATTTATTTCCATGTCACTGTATGCACTGAATCCCTCCCTGTGAAAGATTCCACATGCGCCCCCACGTCCCACCACCAACCCCACCTCTGCTGGGGCAACCTCGATGCCCTGCCTGAGAGAACTTCCCCTCCCCAGACAAAGTGAGGAGTCTTCCCTCCTCCCAGTTTCCAGCATTTCCCTACTGAATTGCAGAATTCCTACTGAGATGCAAAAAGAAATAATGATCTATATGAGCCCTGAAAAATAAGAAAGGGTTTCCTCCGTCTAATACAGAAAAACAATCTGAAGGAAACTCATCCACGGTGACACTGATCTGCCAACTGGGAGGGAGGAGCCTGTTGAGCCGCCAGGAGTGGCAGACCCCTCCCAAAATCACCAGCCATGGGTTGAGGGACAAGACAGAAGGGTGCTGGGCGGCAGGCAGGACACGGGTCACACAGGAGGGCCAGCTGAGCGCTCAGGTCCTGGGCTCTCCACGGCGGCGGGGACACTCTCCCTTGCCTCATTTCCTAAGAGATGACGATCAGGGAGGAGGGCCAGGCTCCACAGAGCAGCCATGCAGACAGGCAGCAGTGGCCGAGGCAGCCACTTACTCCCAGGAAGGCGCTGAGAATGTCATCTAGATTCTGTGGTGACCTAGCCTTGCTTTTACTTCGGAGTCACTCAGGAGCTCGCAAACATCCCTGAACCACCAAGACCACAGCAATTAGAACCTCAGAGCAAGGGCTTGGCATCACAGCTACCTCCTGTGTGGCACAAGCTCAGAGCCAATGCAGGGACACCTGCTGTATGCAGGCCAGGGCTGAGGCCCCCTGCCAGGTACCAGGGTGCCCCTTCTCTGCAGCTGCCCACCTGCAGGGTGCAGGGCTTGCAGGCTTGTCAATGTTTTCTCAGGAGGAAGGCATTTCTTTCAAACGAAGTTGTACTTGGACTTTAAGCCATAAACTCACAAGAGGGCTCCCTGGGCTGTTCCACTTTTTACTGCTGATGACAGTCTCACACCTCTTCTAATGGCCCCATGTCCTGCCAGCTTTCCTGCAGCCCCCGCCAGATGCAGGCCATCTATGTCCTTGTAGACATCAGCCAGCAAAGCAGCGGGTGAATCCGGGTGGATGCACAGTGGGGAGCAGCCATCTGGGTTTCATCATGTGGAACCGTTACTGCTACCAACACCCTCAGAAACCCATCCACACCATGAGTCCATGCAGACCCTCAGAAACCCACCCACACCATCAGTCCACAAAGACCCACAGGCCCTAGAGACAAGACCAGGGCAGGGAGGGCTGAGAGCTCACCGCTGTTGCGGAAGCAGAGATTTACTGTGAACACAGGCTGGTTCTACAGCACACCTCTGGGGATAAAGCAATCCCAACGGGAGAAATCTCTTTAGAGGACATAGGGAATGCGTTGTCAGTCTGCCCCCTCCTTCCATGATTAAGTTTAGGAATTCTGGGATGTGGCTTCTAAAGCCAACCTTTCTGACATGACTTGCCTGATGCCCTGAGTCTCTTAGTTAGACAATGGAACAAATGTAGAAAAAGAAGGGAATGAGATCTAAAACACAGCAAAACTCGGAGTGTTCTAAAAGCACATGTGCTCTGGAAAGGGACTTGCACCTGAGGGCAGTGATGTGATCCTTAGACTTGTCCTGAGTGTCCGAGAGAAATGATGCAGGAGGCAGGACTCCCAGGAGGCAGAGTGAGGGGCTCAGCACATCCCCTGCCCAAGACAATGACAAATGGGATGAAACCATCAAAAATAGCCACTTTAGGATGCTGGAAATCAACTAAAGACACATTATAAATTGAGAAGCATTTATTTAAAAGAAACAAACAGGCCGAGCCTAGTGGCTCATGCCTGTAATCCCAGCACTTTGGGAGGCCAAGGCGGGTGAATTACGTGAGGTCAGGAGTTTGAGACCAGCCTGGACAACATGGTGAAACCCCATCTCTACTAAAAATAAAAAAATTAGCTGGGCGTGGTGGTGGGTGCCTGTAATCCCAGCTACTCAGGAGGCTGAGGCAGGAGAATTGCTGGAACCCGGGAGATGGAGGTTGCAGTGAGTCGAGATCATGCTATTGCACTCCAAACTGGGCGACAGAAAGGGACTCCATCTCAAAATAAATAAATAAAAATTAAAAAATAAAAAAAAAACACCTACTTTGCCTGGGGTCCTTTGCCACACTCTTTGAGGAGCATCCCTGAACCCAGGCCCATGGGCCCTGAATTGCCACAGCTGCCCTGCAGGAACCCGTCGGCCACCCCTTTGGGTGAGTCAGTGAATCACAGAGCCAAAGATCGCAGCCCATGCCAAGCCCACACACTGTGTGAGGACCAGGAAAAAACTCTCAGAAGAACGGACACGCGTGGTTCTGCGGGACATGAAAGGGAATCTGCACAGCGGAAAGTCCACGCCTGGGGTGGGAGGTCAAGGGGGTTAAATGGCTGCACTTTCCACTCATGAAGAGACCAGACACCACCTCAACCGAATCCCCAGCAGGACTTCTCCTGGAGCTGCACAGTGTGGAAGGTCCCCTGAAGGAATTAAGGCCGACGTTTTCTGAAACTCTGAAACCCTGTGTTCCTGGCACAGCAGAGCAGCCATGCCAGCGGGCGCTGGGGAGGACGACATGCAGGGAACAGAGGTGACTGACCTGAGGGGTCATGGGGACTGCAGAGGTCATTTCACAAAAGGTGCCAGTACAATCAGTTTTAGGCCAGAAAGTTAAAAAGTCTAATTCTAATCTCACCCACTACGTCAATGTGAGTCCTTGTAAAATTTTAAAAGTAAGAGTTGAATAAAACTACAATCTTATCTCACCCTTAGGTTGCACAGACCGATGTCCTATAAGAGGACAGCATGGAGGGGGAAGACCTTACCCCCCGCTAGGGCCCAGGTCAGCCTCACATGTGAGTCACAGTGACAGGGTGTGCCCGATACCATGGGGTGACAGTGGTACTTCACCTCTGGGGGCTTCCTCCTCAAACTCATAGCCCCTTCCTGTACCCATGAGAAAAGCATCAGACAGATCCCAGCAGAGGGATAGCCTGAAAAATGCCTGATTAGTCCTGCTCAGGACAGTCAAGGTCACCAAAACCAAGAAGAGTCAGAAACTCACAACCAAGATGGGTGTGTCCTGTGCCAGGTCTGCCCCTCGTGCACCTAACCCTGTCCCTCACTCTCCTAACCCTGTCCCCTGCTGGGTCCGCCCCTCACTCTCCTAACCCTGTCCCATGCCGGGTCCGCCCCTTGCTCTCCTGGCCCTATCCTGTGCTGGGTCCGCCCCTTGCTCTCCTAATCCTGTCCCATGCCAGGTCCACCCCTTGCTCTCCTAACCCTGTCCCATGCCATATCCGCCCCTCACTCTCCTGGCCCTGTCTTGGGTCTGTTATCTGCTTAACTGACAATTTTTAAAGAACCATTTTTAAAAAATCATTTTTATAGTCACCTGGAAAGAGATCAGTTCTTGCTATGGTTGATTTATAGCTTCTTGGGGGATGTGTCCAGTTTTAACCATGAAACATTTAAAAGAACGCAGAACACCGGAGAAGGCCCCAGAAAAGGCAAAAGAGGAGCTAAAGAAATGGACAGTGCGGCCAGAGGAAAGGCTCAGGCTGCAGTGGGGGCTGAGGACCCCGATGGCTCCCAGGATGACGGTGCCGGTGCCTGTGCCTGCAGGAGTCCTGCCAGCTTCTCCTGACCTTCAAAAGGGTCAAACGAGCAAATGGCCTCACACTGAACACAGAGAGATACCGGAGGCTATGGGTGATAGTCACACGTTGAGGGACATTGTGAAACCACTTCCCAGGGTGAGCAGGGAAGCAAGCTCAGTTCCAGGTGTCCTCCAGAGGATGAGCATGTGGAATATCATTTCTCAAGGCTCATGATTTTGGGGTCTGATAAATAGCTAAGTTGTCAGGAAAGAGAAGGTAGGAAAATGATGAGAGCAGGTGTCGGAAACGCCGAGTGACAATGCACCCTAAGGAGGAGCCTCCCCTGGGCGGTGCCTCCCTGACACTGCCGGTGCTTGCAGGACGGAAGCTCGAAGGGCCAGGGCTGGGCTCTGCTGCCTCCCATGACCTGGAGCTCCAGTACAGTAGAGGGAACAGAACCCCAACCCCAGTCTGCATGACAGCCACAGAGCACCAGCAAGAAGTGACAAGAGCAGGGAAGGGAGCAGAGACAGGCTGCAACATGTCACGAGCAGTCAGCATCACACGGGAGGACAGGAGGGTCCCGTGGAGAAGCCAGAACAAGAACCAGGGAGACAGGTGAGGAAGAGAGTTCTAGAAATGAGTTAGGGGAGGGGGCGGGGCCCACAGCAGGGTGCAGGCAGGGAAGAGTATTCTAGAAATGAGTTAGGGGAAGGCACAGGGCCCACAGCGTGGTGCAGGGGGAAGAGTGTTCTAGAAAAGAGTTGGGGGAAGGTGCGGGGCCCACAGCACGGTGCAGGGGGAAGAGTGTTGTAGAAAAGAGTTGGGGGAGGGTGCGGGGCCCACAGCGTGGTGCAGGGGGGTACTGGACCTCAGTTGAGGACCTCCTGGGCTGGACATCAGGCTGGAGCTCAGTGTGTGCTGGGCCAGTGTGACCCAGGAGTCACTGGCGACCCTGAGGGTCTTGGAGCCCCTGCGGAATCCAGGATTAGGGAGAGGCTGCACAGGAGAGGGGGTCCCTCCCAGCCTGCCAGGCAAAAAGTGGGAACCGGGAAGGGGGAGCAGGTCAAGAGTTGAAAGATGCTGTTCTCAAGAAAGGATTCTGCCTCTAAAAAGAGAAAAGGTACCAAGTTAGCCCAGGTCACAACGCCAGGCTCGCTGGCTCTGCAAGACAAGGGTGCTTTGCAGAAGCCACATGGATGGACAAGGACGAGGGGCCGGGTCTCCTCTCAGAACGCACTCCTCAGACACAGGTGTGCTATCACTGCTGTGGCCTTCAGAGTCTGAGGCTCTGTCCTCTCGAGGCTGTATCCCGCAGGGTCCTGAGGGCCTCTGCTGAAGGCGGGGCACACAGCCCAGATCGTGTGGCCAACAGAGCTGCCTGTCTGCTGCAAGGATGAAAAAGCGCCTCCCACCAGGATATTTCTAAACCGGGAGAAAAGGACGTGGCTCAGATACGTCAGCCCTGCCACGAGGTGGCAGCAGAGGTCCATGGTCATCCCCCAGGTCCCAGGAACTCCCTCCTCTGGCTTCTCAGAAACCAAGGTGCCTCTGGGGCTTGGCTCTAACCCAGGGGTCTGCAGGCCCCGCTGGCTGCCCATATCCACAATCCACGTTTCCCCGGAGCACAGTCTCACCCCCTCCTTGACTCGTGGTCTGCAGCTGCCTTCCAGCACCAGGTCAAGGCCACGCACACTGCAGACCGTGTGGCCCGCAGAACCCAAGCCACCTGTCCTATCCTGACCTGGGTCATCACAGGCCCTCACAAGGATTGTGGGAGAACAGCAGCCAAGCTGAAGTGCCAACACTGCGTGACATCCTCCTGGGCCTGGCACTCCTATCCGTGGGTGACAAAGTTCCCAGACAGCAAAGCGACGAGATAAAATGGGGCCCATGGGGCCAGGTAGGCGCAACGACCTCACAGGCAGCAAAGGTGTGCTGGCCCGTGGTGCCCACTGCCATGGCAGCCGGACTGGGTGTTCCCAGGACGGATACACTTGACATGGACACACCAAAAACACCTGACAGCCGGGAGAAGGCCAGCATCATCCCACACATAGCCGAGAGCCAGGAAAAGGCCAGCGCCACTCCCTTCAGAGGAGATGAGGTCTGAGCTGGTCCATGGGTCAGAGCCAGTGGCTGAAACGGAGACCCAGTCTCCAGGGAAGACCCGCAACAGTCCTGCGGTGTAGAGCAAACATTCACCCCACCTTCCCCAGCGGGCCTGAGTAACTGCCTGGAGTGACAGCATGATGGGCAGAGTGAGTGGCCAGGCCCTGGACCTTCAGACAATGGCTGGGTCTGGGGCCTGAGCTCCTGCCCACTCCAGGGGACTCAGACACCATCATGGACCCACAATTAACATGACAGACGGAGCTTGGCCCGAGTCCATCTGGCAGAGGCCCTGTGCCCGCACACCCATCTGCTAGACGTTCTGGTACAGCACTGGACAGAGGCGCCCAGCAGCTGCCAGACAAGCCCTCTGGCCCCGGCCTTGAGCAGGATATTAAGGCAGAAAAGGCCAAGTACAGTCCCCAGGAGCCTTCCCCACCTCAGCCAAGATAGCACCTGGGGAAGACTGTAGAATCTACACTACCATCAAGGACTTCAGGGCTGCGTGGGCGGTTTGACCCCTTTCCATTTTCCACTCTAGAAACCAGATGGACTCTGGGGACAACAGTGGCTGCCGGCCTCGGCCTTGGGGTGCCCAACGGCAGTGTCGTGCCAGGTGTGGTCTCTGCACCTGCATCCGCTTACTTGATGAACATGCCCTTCATCCCGTCTGTAAAGAGGATCAAAATTAGACTGTGTGTTCTTGGGAGAAGAGCAAATACATAACCAGCGCTTTCCCTCAGAGCTAAGGGAGCCCTTCCTGCTCTGTCACAGGACAGTCTTCAGGGACTCCGACTGCTTTGTTTAGGTTTTATTTTTTAGAGCAGCAAACTGAGCACAAAACACAGAGATTTCCTATATACCCCCATCCCCCACGGCCCATCCCCCACAGCCCGCCACCAGAGCAGTACATGAGTCACAACCAAACCCATGTGGGCACATCACCACCCCCCAGGTCCAGAGTTCACAGCAGGGCTCACGCTCGGTGCTGTACTCTGTGGTTTGGGCAAATGTGTAATGACACGCATCCACCATTACAGCATCACCCGGAGTATTTTCCCTGTAGTAAAAGTACTCTGTGATCCACCTACACATCCATCTCTCCGCCCAACTCTTGGCAACCACTGATCTTTATACTATTTTTATAGTTTTGTCTTTTCCAGAATGTCATATAGTTGGAATCGTATAGCATGCAGCCTTTTCAGGCTGGCCTCTTTCACTAAGTAACACGCATTCAAGGTTCCTCCGCATCACTTCATGGTTTGACAGCTCATTTCTTTGTAGTGCTGAATCATATTCCACTGTCTGGATGCACCACTGGTGTATTCATTTGCCTACTAAAGGATGTCTTGGTTGCTTCCAAGTGTTGGCAATGATAAACAAAGCTGCTATAAACATCTGTGTGCAGGTTGTTGTGTAGGCTGAAGTTTTCAAATCCTTTGAGTAAATACCAAGGAGCATGACTAATAGATCTCACGGTTAGAGAGATTTTAGTTTGCAAAGTGATGCAACCACTTGGGAAGGTAGTTTGGCAGTTTCTTACAAAACTGTGGCAGTTTCTTACAAAACATTCTGCAAATGGCAAAACTATAGTGACAATAAAAACATGAGTGGTTGCCAGGGGCTTCAGGGACGGGAGGAGTGAGTACGTGAAGCGCATGGGGGCAGTGGAGCTCTTCTGTATGACACAGTAATGACAGGGACACGTGTCACTGGACACTTGTCAAAACCTGTGTTCAACACAGTGAGCCCCAATGCAAACTATGACCATCCGTGAATAACAATGAACCAGGCCGGCGCGGTGGCTCACACCTGTTATCCCAGCACTTTAGGAGGCCGAGGCGGGCAGATCATGAGGTCAGGAGATCGAGACCATCCTGGCTAACAAGGTGAAACCCCGTCTCTATTAAAATACAAAAAATCAGCCAGGCTTGGTGGCACGCACCTGTAGTCCCAGCTACTCGGGAGGCTGAGGCAGGAGAATGGTGTGAACCCGGGAGGTGGAGGTTGCAGTGAGCCAAGATCGCACCACTGCACTCCAGCCTGGGCGACAGTGCGAGACTCTGTCTCAAAAAATAATAATAATAATGTACCAATATTGGTTCATTGACTGTACCACACTTGAGGCAAGATGTACGTAACAGGAGAAGCTCTGTATGAGGGGAGGAGGTGGCACGCTCTATACTTTCCAATAATTTTTCTGTATTGTAGAATACAATTGCCCTAAAACATAAAGACTATTAACTTTTCAAAAGTGAAATAAATCCTGAGTTCATAAGGATATCATCAACTGAAAATGGAAACCACAAGGTTTTGGATTTTGATTCCAACCATGAAGGAGTAAGGACTTATGATCCCACAGTAAAAACCTTAAGAATTGGACAGAAATAAGAAGCAAGTGTGTTCGAGCATTGCACAGCAGGGTGCAGGACTGTGATCTTTCACCCGGCGGAGACACACGCTGAGCTCCTCGCCGGCTGCTTTCTAGCTGCGTCCACTGTCAAGTTGCTGCTCACGGCAGTGCAGCACACACACAAGCTGCTGCCTCGCTGGGGGGCTGAGGACAAAAGGCAAGCATGGGGGCTGCGGCAGCAGCTGGAATATGGGAGATGGGGACAGCAGAGGCAAGAGCTAAGAGGAGACGGGGCCCCCAAACTGCAGGAAGATGTTGGCCAAATACTATGCTGTGCACGCAAGGACTCCATGAGGAATGGCAGAGAGAGACAGAACTACTGGGGAGTATGAGGTGAACAGACACGCTAAATGTCATGTGGTACCACGAGGCGGGGACTGCTCACAGCCACAGTGGAGGCCCCTCACTCAGCATCCAGGGTGTTCACTTGAGACCCATGAAAGGCTACACCTTAGGAGGAGGACAACGTTAAGTTCTAGAGGAAGGGATAGTGAAGACTTTCCTTGACAAAGTTCGACCGAGCCATGACATGAAGTTTCGGTAAATTAGATGCCTGCAGAAATAAAAACCAAAAACAACAAACACAACACCCCAAATTCTTAACAGCGTAGCATATATAGTCACGTGCCACACAACGGCATTTCAGGCAACAACAGACGTGCCATATACCACAGCCGTCCCTTAAAATTAGAATGGAGCTGAAAAGTCCCATCACCCTGCAACGCTGTGGCCTCCTTAGGAAGGAGTGCAGCTGGCTCCCCCCACGCCTGTGGTGATACTGGTGTAAACTCACCTGCTGCCCTGCCAGTCACATCAGAGCGTAACTCGTACAATTACTTACAATAGTAATACCTGACGATGATAATAAACGATGGTGTTACTGGTTTGTGTATTTACTATACTATATTTTTACCATTATTCTAGTGTACTCCTTCTATTTATTAAAAAAAAAAAAGTTAACATAGAACAGCCTCAGTCAGGTCTCTCAGGAGGTGTCAAGAAGCAGGCACTGTGATCACAGCAGAGGACAGCTCCACGCCTGTTACTGCCCCTGAGGACCTTCCAGCGGGACAAGGCGTGGAGGTGGAAGACAGTGGCATGCACGATTCTGACCCTGTGCAGGCCTAGGCTAAAGTGTGTGTGTGTGTCTCAGTTTTTAACAAAAGGGGAGGGGAGGGGAGGGGAGGGGAGGGGAGGGGGAAGGGGAGGAGGAGGGGGAGGAGGGAGAGGGAGGGGAGGGGCAGGGGACGGGGAGGGGGAAGGGGAAGGGGATCTTAAACATGAAAAATTCTTATAAAAACAAAGAAAATATTTTGGCGTAGCTGCATACAATGTGTTTGTGTTTTAAGCTAAGCGTTATTACAAAAGAGTCAAAAGTTAAAAAATAAATCTAAAGGTTTATAAAGCAAAAAAGTTAGAGTAAGCTAAGGTTAATTTATTATTGAAGAAATAAATTTTGTTATATCATAAATTTAGCATATCCCAAGTGTACAGTACTTATGAAGTCTACAGCAGTGCACAGTAATGTCCTGGCCTTCAGATTCACTCATCACTCACTCACCCACCACTCACCACTCACTCACCACTCACCACTCACTCACCACTCACCACTCATCACTCACCACTCACTCATCACTCACTCACCACTCACCACTCACTCACCACTCACCACTCACTACTCACCACTCACTCACCACTCACCACTCACTCACCACTCACCACTCATCACTCACTACTCACCACTCACTCATCACTCACCACTCACTCACCACTCACTCATCACTCACCACTCACCCATCACTCATCACTCACTCACCACTCACCACTGACTCACCACTCACCACTCACTCATCACTCACCACTCACTCACCACTCACCACTCACTCACCACTCACTCATCACTCACCACTCACCACTCATCACTCACCACTCACTCATCACTCACTCACCACTCACCACTCACTCACCACTCACCACTCATCACTCACTACTCACCACTCACTCACCACTCACTCACCACTCACTCATCACTCACCACTCACCACTCACCACTCACTCACCACTCACCACTCATCACTCACTACTCACCACTCACTCATCACTCACCACTCACTCACCACTCACCACTCACTCACCACTCACCACTCATCACTCACTACTCACCACTCACTCATCACTCACCACTCACTCACCACTCACTCATCACTCACCACTCACCCATCACTCATCACTCACTCACCACTCACCACTCACCACTGACTCACCACTCACCACTCACTCATCACTCACCACTCACTCACCACTCACCACTCACTCACCACTCACTCATCACTCACCACTCACCACTCATCACTCACCACTCACTCATCACTCACTCACCACTCACCACTCACTCACCACTCACCACTCATCACTCACTACTCACCACTCACTCACCACTCACTCACCACTCACTCATCACTCACCACTCATCACTCACCACTCACTCATCACTCACTCACCACTCACCACTCACTCACCACTCACCACTCACTACTCACCACTCACTCACCACTCACCACTCACTCACCACTCACCACTCACTCACCACTCACCACTCACTCATCACTCACCACTCACCCATCACTCATCACTCACTCAACACTCACCACTCACCACTCATCACTCACTCACCACTCACTCATCACTCACCACTCACTCACCACTCACTCACCACTCACTCATCACTCACCACTCACCACTCACTCACCACTCATCACTCACTACTCACCACTCACTCATCACTCACCACTCACTCACCACTCATCACTCACCACTCACTCACCAGTCACCACTCATCACTCACCACTCACTCATCATTCACCACTCACTCACCACTCACCACTCACTCACCACTCACCACTCACTCACCACTCATCACTCACCACTCACCACTCACCACTCACTCATCACTCACCACTCACTCACCACTCACCACTCACTCATCACTCACCACTCATCACTCACCACTCACTCACCACTCACCACTCATCACTCACCACTCACTCACCACTCACTCACCACTCACCACTCATCACTCACCACTCACCACTCATCACTCACTCACCACTCATCACTCACCACTCACCACTCATCACTCATCACTCACCACTCACTCACCACTCATCACTCACTCACCACTCATCACTCACCACTCACCACTCACTCACCACTCATCACTCACTCACCACTCATCACTCACCACTCACCACTCACCACTCATCACTCAGTCACCACTCACCACTCACTCACCACTTACCACTCATCACTCACCACTCACCCACCACTCACTACTCACTATTCACCACTCACTCACCACTCACTAGCTCACCACTCACCAGCTCACTCACCACTCACCACTCACTAGCTCACTCACCACTCACCCACCACTCACTCACCCAGAGCAACCTCCAGTCCTGCCAGCTCCATTCATAAATGCCCTACCCAGGTGTGCCATTCTTTATGTTTTATACTGTATTTTTACTTCACCTTTTCTATGTTTCGAAGTGTTTAAACACACAATTGCCACTGTGTCACAACTGCGTACAGTATTCAGCACAGTCATGCACTACACAGCTTTGTAGCCTAAGACCAATAGGCTGTACCATACAGCCTAGGTGTGTAGTGGGCTGCACCAGCTAGGTTTGTGTAAGTCCACACCATGATGTTCACACAGGGAGGAAATTGCCTAACAACACATTTCTCAGCATGTGTCCCTGTCATTAAGCGATGCACGACTATCCAATGAACATCATACAAACAAAAAATACTGCACATATGTAGATGCAGAAAAACATGGTCCAATATCAGAAAACAAATTTAGTCCATAAAAATAAAGAGATGGCAGACACATTGGGGTTATTGGGCAGGTACTTTTAAAGGAGCTATTATAAATTTGTTAGAAAATTAAAGGAAGGCTGGGTGTGGTGGCTCACGCTTGCAATACCAGCACTTTGGGAGGCCAAGGCAGGTGGATCACTTGAGGCCAGGAGTTTGAGACCAGCCTGGCCAACATGGTGAAACCCCATCTCTATTTAAAAAATACAAAAAATAGCCGGGCGTTGTGGCGCATGCCTGTAATCCCAGCTCCTCAGGAGGCTGAGGCAGGAGAATCGCTTGAACCTGGGAGGCAGAGGTTGCAGTGAGCTGAGATCGTGCCACTGCACTCCAGCCTGGGCAACAGAGGGAGACTCCATTTCCAAAAAAGAAAATGAAAGGCAGACTGAACAAACTGAACATAATGAGTGAACTCATCAGAAGATCTAAGGAAGAAAAGGGAAACTATAAAAATGAGCCAACTAGAAATCAAGAAATGAAAAATAAAAATTTCGGAGAAGACAATTCACTGGATGGACTTAGCAGCAGAACACATACTGCATACAAAGCAACCAGGGAACTACAGATCAACAGACGCTATTCAAACTACGCACAGATAGATAAAAAAAAGCTTAAAAATAAAACAACAGAACCTGAGAGACCTGCGTGACAATAGTGAGTGGTCTAAAATATGTTTAACTGGAGTCCCAGAAGAGAAGAAAGACTGAAATGGGAAAAAGTTAAATATGATGGCTAACCATTTTCTAAATTTGATGGCTAGTGTCAATCACACATATAAAGATGCTCAACAAACTCCCATAAAAAAACAGAAGAGAAGAAAACCATATACACACACATTCTAGTCAAACTGCTGAAAATCAGAGACAGAGAAAATTTTCAAAGCAATAGGAAAAAAATACATTGCACAAAGAGAATGAACAGGGTAAGGAATGACCTCTCATCAAAAACAGTGGAAGCCAGAGGCAAAGGAATGACATATTACATATGGGCAAAAAATCCCAAAACCTCTAACCTAAAATTTTAGAGAGAATTTCAAAATGAAGGCAAAATAAAGACATCATCAAAATTATCAATCAATAAAAATGGAGAGAATTCATACCTAGCAGAACTGCACTACAAAAAATGTTCACAGCCGGGCATGGTGGCTCACGCCTGTAATCCCAGCACTTTGGGAGGCCGAAGCGGGCGGATCACCTGAGGCCAGCAGTTCTGGCCAACACGGTGAAACCCGGTTTGTACTAAAAATACAAAAATTAGCCGGGTGTGTTGGTGGGCGTCATCCCAGCTACTCGGGAGGCTGAGGCAGGAGAATCGCTTGAACTCGGGAGGCAGAGATTACAGTGAGCCGAGATGGCACCACTGCACTCCAGCCTGCACAACAGAGCAAGACTCCATCTCAAAAACGACAACAACACAATGTTAAGGGAAAATTTTCAGACTGAAGAAAATGATGCCAGATGGAAACTCAGATCCGTGAGAAAGAGTACAGAGTGTCAAAAACAGAAAACAGTATAAAACCCACACTTTGGGCACATGTTCTCAGGACCTCTCGAGGCTGTGTCATAGCCCATGGTCTTTAACCTTAGCAAAATAAACCTCTAAATTGACTGAGACCTGTACCAGATACCTTCTGGCTTATGATAGCATGTGCAGAAGTTAATTATATGGCAACACGACCTCCCCAAAAAGGAGCAGTTAAATGGAAGTATATTGTTGTAAGGTCCTCATAGTAAATGTGAAAAGGTGTAATATAAGTTTGAGTGAACAATGATAAAATTGTATATTAAAATTTTTAAAACAACAAAAATACAAAGCAGAGCTAAAAGATAAAGAGGAAATAAAATGAAATTCTAAGGAATAACTGATAAATATTAAGGCAGGAAAAGGAAAAGCTATAAAAGAAGAGAGGGACAATTAAAAAACATATAAGAAGAAGGAAGAATAAACTCAACCAAATCAGTTATTACAATAGGTGTAAACAGATTTAACACTCCAGTTAAAAATGTACTGCCAGACAAGATAACAAAAGCACGACTCAAAGCACGTGCTACTTTTAGAGAAACACTTTAAATACAAAGGCACAGACAGTTAAAAGTAAAACAATGAGAAAAAATATGGCATGCAAATACTGATCCTAGCAAGCCAACATGTCTCAATACCAGACAAAGCTGGTGTAAGGACAATGAATATTAGCAGGTAGAAAGGGAAATGTTTCACAATAAAAAAGGGTCAGTTTATCAAGAAGATGTAACAGTCCTAAATGTGTTTGCTGTTTCTGTGGCAAAGGGACTGTGCAGATGTGATGAAGGTCACAGGCCTTGCAATGGCGAGATTATCCTGGATTATCCAGGTGGGGCCACTCTAATCACTTGAGTTCTTAAAAGTGGAGAATCTTTCCAAACTGGGTCCTGTGGCTGACACAGCAGGTGGAGGAGGACTCAGGAGCAGATGAACGGGAGCACTTCTAGAATCTGGAAGAGGCAAGGAGGTGAGTCCTCCCCGTGAGCCTCCAGAAGGGATGCAGCACTGCTGCGGAGAGCCCAGTGGGGCCTCCTGCTGTCGGGGCTCTCATCAGCAGAACTGAAAGGTGATGAGCTTGTGCTGTAAGCCATGGAGTCTGTGGTGATGTTGGAAGGTGGCCACATGTAGCAAATGCAGCAGGAAATAACAAATAGGAATGGAGACTGATGAAAGCACAGCGAACAAACAGTAAACAAAATAAAGAAAAGAAGGTTAATATAAAAATACAAAAAAATGGAAAAACACCTAGACCAAGAGAAAAAGAAAACAAAAATCACAAAAGATATGAAAGACAAGTTGTCAGTACTGATCCGGTAGATATTAAAATGATAATGTGAGATTATTATGATGACCAACTTCACACCAACATATGTATCAGTTTAGATGAAGTGGGGCCATTTTAAAACTACAGCTTCCAAAATTGATACAAACTGTAAAAGGAAATTTGAATATCTCTATAGAAACTAAAAAATGAAAGTTGTTGTCAAATACCTTCCCGACAAGAAGACTCAAGGCACCGGCAAATTCTGTCAAACACATAGAGACATAACAACACCAATCTTACACAAACCCTTTCAGAAAACAGGGAAGAGGGAATAATTCCAAAGTCATTGCGTAAACCAAGCATAACTCTGGTTTTAAAATCTGACACAGAGATGAGAAAAATGAAAGTGTCTCTCATGACCATAGCTATAAAAAATCATTACCAAAATATTAGTGAAAAAAGTCCAAAAATTGGCCGGGCACAGATGGCTCACGCCTATAATCCCAGCACTTTGGGAGACCGAGGTGGGAAGATCGCTTGAGCCCAGGAGTTTGAGACCAGCCTGAGAAATGTGGCAAAACCTCATCTCTATTAAAAAAAAAAAAAATTAGCCAGGCATGATGGTGTACTGTACTCCCTGTACTCCCTGTACACCTGTACTCCCAGCTACTCGGGAGGCTGGGGTGTGAAGACTGCTTGAGCACAGGAGACTGAGACTGCCGTGAGCTGAGATCGTGCCACTGCACTCCAGCCTGGGCCACAGAGCGAGACTCTGTCACACACACTCTCTCACACACACACACACACACACACACACAGAATCGAATCACGACCAAGTAGGGTTTACACCAGGAATGCAAAATTGGTTATATATTGCAAAATCTGGCAATATGTAATTTACCATATTAACATGATAAGGCAGTAAATTATTATTTCAATAGATGCAGAAAAATGCATTTGACAAAATTCAATACTGTGCATAAAACTTCACAATAAATCTTTTTTCTATTAGGCTAAAATTTGCTTTCCAGTGACATCACCCTGATTATTGATGTGCTTGATCCTTCAGAGTCAACTAGTTAGAAACCCTGATACCATCTGCAAAACCCCTTGGCCAAGTAACATGGCATAATCACAGGGGTGATGTCCCACCTTACCAGCAGGTCCCACTCACTCTCAAGAGGATGTGTGTATGCAAGGCTTGTACACCAGAGAGCAGAAGCCTTAGGACCCCCTAGAATTCTGCCCCCCAAACCTCATCAGTTGGCTTCCTGTGAGGGTCTCTGATGGGAGATGATGCAGGGAAGAGGCAGCAGGACAGAGGGCCTTGCCCCGACCCGGATCGCAGCATAGCAGCTGCTGGCATCTGCCGCACTTAGCAGCTGCTGTAGTGGCAGCGGCAGGGGGGAAGCGGGGCAGCTCCTTTTAGGAGAGTCAAGCCCTGCTCAGATCAGCTCCTCCACGTGGATCCAGAGCCGAGCACGATTGTGCTCCCCACGCAGCAGCCGGCCCAGGCTGACAGGCCCCAGCCCAGAACCACCAGCAACTCCAGCCCCAGTGAGCCCCTTCCTCCTCTTGCTCGCACACCCCCTCTTTATCTCCCGTACTCCTCAGCCCTACATCACCTTTCTAATCAACTCTCTGTACTCAACATGCTCTCTTTAAATGCGTGGAGTGGAAATGGTTTTCCTAACTGAACCCTGATGTATAGAGTCATCGAAATAAATTCTAGATAGAGATGGAAATGCAGAAAGATAATTACTACAATAAGTCGTCCAATATTTATATAATTGTGAAATGATACAGGCAGAAAGTCACAAATGAAAAGCGCTCTTAGAAATCACTTTTTTTATACTTTAAGTTCTGGGACACAAGTGCAGAACATGCAGGTTTGTTACACAGGTATACACATGCCATGGTGGTTTGCTGCACCCATCAACCCATTATCTACATTAGGTAGTTCTCCTAATGCTATCCCTTGCCTAGCCCCCCACCCCCCAACAGGCCCTGGTGTGTGATGTTCTTCTCCCTGTGTCCATGTGTTCTCATTGTTCAACTCCCACTTATGAGTGAGAACATGTGGTGTTTGGTTTTCTGTTCTTGCGTTAGTTTGCTGAGAATGATGATTTCCAGCTTCACCCATGTCCCTGCAAAGGACATGAACTCATCCTTTTTTATGGCTGCATAGTATTCCGTGGTATATATGTGCCACGTTTTCTTTATCCAGCCTATCATTGGTGGAAATTTGGGTTGGTTCCAAGTCTTTGCTATTGTGAACAGTGCTGTAATAAATATACACATGCATGTGTCTTTATAGTAGAATGACTTATAATCCTTTGGGTATATACTCAGTAATGGGATTGCTGGGTCAAATGGTATTTCTGGTTCTAGATCCTTGAGGAATCGCCATACTGTCTTCCACAATGGTTGAACTAATTTACACTCCCACCAACAGTGTAAAAGCATTCCTATTTCTCCACATCCCCTCTAGCATCTGCTGTTTCCTGACTTTTTAATGATCGCCATTCTAACTGATGTGAGATGGTATCTCACTGTGGTTTTGATATGCATTTCTCTAATGACCAGTGATGATTAGCTTTTTTTCACGTTTTTTGGCCGCATAAATGTCTTCTTTTGAGAAGTGACTGTTCATATCCTTTGCCCACTTTTTGATGGGGTTGTTTTTTTCTTGTAAACTTGTTTAAGTTCCTTGTAGATTCTGGATATTAACCCTTTGTCAGATGGATAGATTGCAAAAATTTTCTCCCATTATGTAGGCTGCCTGATCACTCTGATGATAGTTTCTTTTGCTGTGCAGAAGCTCTTTAGTTTAATTAGATCCCATTTGTCAATTTTGGCTTTTGTTGCCATTGCTTTTGGTTTTAGTCATAAGTCTTTGCCCATGCCTATGTCCTGAATGGTATTGCCTAGGTTTTCTTCTAGGGTTTTTATGGTTTTAGGTCTTATATGTAAGTCTTTAATCCATCTTGAGTTAATTTTTGTATAAGGTGTAAGGAAGGGGTCCAGTTTCAGTTTTCTGCATATGGCTAGCCAGTTTTCCCAACACCATTTATTAAATAGGGAATCCTTTCCCCACTGCTTGTTTTTGTCAGGTGTATCAAAGATCAGATGGTTGTGGATGTCTGGCATTATATCGGAGGCCTCTGTTCTGTTCCTTTGGTCTATCTATCTGTTTTGGTACCATGCTGTTTTGGTTACTGTAGCCTTGTAGTATAGTTTGAAGTCAGGTAGCATGATGCCTCCAGGTTTTTTTTTTGTTTTGTTTTTGTTTTTTTTGCTTAGAATTGTCTTAGCTATACAGGCTCTTTTTTGGTTCCATATGAAATTTAGAGTAGTTTTTTCTAATTCTGTGAAGTAAGTCAATGGTAGCTTCATGGAGCTAACACTGAATCTATAAATTACTTTGGGCAGTATGGCCACTTTCATGATATTGATTCTTCCTATCCATGAGCATGGAATGTTTTTTCATTTATTTGTGTCCTCTCTTATTTCCTTGAGCAGTGGTTTGTAGTTCTCCTTGAAGAGGTCCTTCACTTCCCCTGTAAGTTGTATTCCTAGGTATTTTATTCTCTTTGTAGCAATTGTGAATGGGAGTTCACTCATGATTTGGCTGTTTGTCTATTATTAGTGTAGAGGAATGCTTGTGATTTTTGCACTTTGATTTTGTATCCTGAGACTTTGCTGAAGTTGCTTATCAGCTTAAGGAGATTTTGGGCTGAGATAATGGGGTTTTCTAAATATACAATCATGTCATCTGCAAACAGAGACAATTTGACTTCCTTTCTTCCTATTTGAATATCCTTTATTTCCTTCTCTTGCCTGATTGCCCTGGCTAGAACTTCCAATACTATGTTGAATAGGAGTGGTGAGAGAGGGCATCCTTGTCTTGTGCCAGTTTTCAAAGGGAATGCTTCCAGCTTTTGCCCATTCGTGTGATATTGGCTGTGGGTTTGTCATAAATAGCAGAAATCAGTTTTGTTTTAAAGCTGACTTTCTTGAAAGGAAAATGGGCAATGCAACACAAATATAAAATTAATGAAAAGCCACAAGGGTTTTTCTAAATCCTGGAGTGTGCAGTGTCCACAGAGAGTGAGTGCTGCATACAGGAGCCAATGACAAGGAGCTCGGAGCATCTGATGAGAAAGAACAAGAGCAAGGCAGGGAGGCCGGCATCTGGAGAGGGCAGAGCCCAGTGCCTCAGTGCTCTGGGTGAGGGGACCAGAAGTGGAATTCTGAATGCAGGCTGCTCCTTGGCCCCAAAGAGATGTTCCGTGGGGTGTGGGGACTCTGCGGCCTGGGTCCCTGGCCCTTTGGGGTCTGCTTTGTGGAGGACTCTTCACTAGAGAGGCCCTGGCTGGTCCCCATGACTCAGCTCCTCATTCTAAAAAAGAACGATGAAATACCCACCTTTCAAGGTTGTGAAAAGTACTCTGTAATTTGCAAAGTGCTACACAAATGAGAGAACTTCAAGCCTTATTTTCCCAGCATAATTCTAGAGTAAAAATACGAGATAAGAAAAGGGGACAGAGAAAAGTAGGAGGACTGCATTGGCCATATTGTTCTGAAGGCATCCAGGGCCACATTGAGCCAGGGTGCGGTTATGTGCCAGTGGATCTGAGAAGAAAGGAGGACTTGGCCCTGTACTCCAGGAAGAACACGTCTCCTGGCCTCACCTCCACTTCCCTTTCTGTGCAGTGAGGGGTAGCTGGCAGCAGCCCTCAGCTCCCACCCTGCTCGAGTCTCTGCATGCACTTGGCCAAAGGGCGGAAAGGCCGCCGTTCCATCCAGCACGGGAGTACAGCCACTTGTCCGCACCAAGCCTGCCACGAGGGTGATTCTGCGATTCTGCAGCCGGGTGGCTTTGCTGGGGTCTTCCACACTCTGTGCAGAGCTGCTGGTCCTCAGACACATCACACCTGCTCTCTGCCCAGTGATAACCCTGGAGGCAGCAATGACTCAGAAGCTGAAGAAAAAACATCCCAACATGACATTCGTGTGGACCGCCCTCTCTAATGCTGAGACACAGCAGCACAAGGAGGCTCCTCCATCTTCTCATGCAATGGGAACCTCACAGACTCCTGGGTGGAGAGGCCTGGACTTCCCCTCATGGCCCGCCCCCCCAGCTCTGCTCTCGCCCTCCTTTCCTCAGGACCATCCGAGTGTGCAGGTGCTAGGAGGGAATGCCACCTTCGCTGCCACAGAAAGACAGGAGCGCGCTTTCCTCAGGACCACTCCAGTGTGCAGCTGCTAGGAGGGGATGTCACCTTTACCACCACAGAAAGACAGGAGCATGCCTGCAAGCTCAGGTGCAGGGATGAGCTGCCAGCAGCAACGGCTGGTCCTTCCAGTCACACTCTCCCTGTGAAAATGTGCTTGCCCCAACTGTTGACACAAAAGCAGACAGGAAGCATTATCTTCAAGGTCCCCTAGCTCGATTTTAGGCACCTGTATGTGCCGTTCTGCCACACTGCCCACAAGGCCTCTGAGCACCTCGTTGGCACCAACCCAGGTGGCCCCACTCTGCTGGTGGGAACCTTGAGGCAGTGGATAAGGGAAGACAGGGGGCTCCAGAAGGAAGGGCTGCCCATGGCCACCTCCGCACGGCCCAGCACACAGGGCAGGTGGGCAAGGGGGGTGCCAAACCCCTGCTTGTTACCAGTCACACCCACCCATAATCTTCCAATTACTTTCCCCCCCAGACACCACCTGGGGGGTTTTCAGCTCCCCCAAGCAAATGACCAGAGAGTCACACAAGAATGCCTCTTCCTATAGAAGGTAGGCTTCCGGGGAACAGCCTTAGACCCTGCCATGGGGGCCAGGCCACAGGGGTGTGGCTGTGGCATAGTGCCCGGCTAGGAAGCGCCATATGTGGTAGCCATGGCCCAAGATGACGATGCCCAGAGTGGCACAGGCCTTCCCACACACGGCCTGGGGCTGCACGGCTCTCCCCACAGCAGGGCTGTGCCATCACCACGGGATCAGGCGGTCACAGCATCCAGGCAGTGGGAAGCCTTTATCTACGTCACTGACACCCTCCCGTGAGGCCCATTTCACAAAAGCACAGGGCCTGCCACGGCAGGGTTAGAATTTCAACCATGCCCAGCTCTGAGCTGGTAAGCCTGACTCCCAGGAACACGGCCTGGCCTTCCTGTGCTGCCTCTCTCGGGGGCAATCCTTCCTTCCCACCCCTCCTGCTTGTGGTGGCAGCAGAAGGACAGGCCCAAGGTGAAAACCGTCATTCACACACAGGAGGTTTCAGAAACTATCTTCATGTGGCTAAAACTGGCCAACACTACAACCCAAGTGACTCCTGAAAGTCACTGTGATTTCAGGAGCCGAATGCCTGGTGCGTGGACACATCAGCAGGACAGCAGGGACTGGGGAAGCAGCAGTCCTGGTAAGGACAACAGAGCCCAGGCAATGGACCAAGGGACACTCAGGGTCAGGGGGGTGCAGAATAAATACAAGTCTTTCATAAGCAAATGCACACATTTTCACCAAACATCTCCCCCAAGACTAGGATCTTCAGTAAGCTCCCCGGCTCATTTCCATGGCTTTTGGTTTTGCCAGTTAATCGTGCTGTTTCACATGGTTTGATATTGTACACCACCTCAAAGCCTTTCAAATAGCTGGAGTAAATCAATATAATCTACATGGATGGTGTGGGCACTAGGAGGCAAAACATTTTATACCATTTTTATTAATAATAAGTTACCAAGATGACAAGATATTGTACCACTAATTCTAAAAACAGAATCCCTCCAAAGGAGTACTGTGAACACGCCAGAGCCTGCAGCACAAAGCCCGGTGCACAGGAGGGAACCAACGTGTAGGTGCCAAGCGAAACAGCAATGGGGTAAAAAACACTACAGCCACGCGGGCAGCAGAGAGGGAGGCGCGGCAGCAGGCAGTGGGCACCTGTGGGCTGGGCCTCCTGTTCCAGGCAGACAGCCACCTCCCCTGGAGGCCCACAACACCACAGATGAGGAAGAGAAGCACCACAGATGTCTCAAGGATGTTCAGTGCCAGGACGCCCCCAAGGCACCTGCACTAAGGTCTAGGCGTCCTTCATCTCAGCGAGGGCACAAGTGAGATACAGCACAGTAACAACATTCATGGGAAGGGACTCAGCAGCCCACCCCAGCAGGACCTGGGCCATCCGGTGCCCTGGCACAGGGTCACCTCCCGAGGCCTGACTATGGCAGCGAGGCCACGGGGAAGCCATGTTCCAGGCTGTCACCATCTGGGTCCTGGAGAAGCTCAGGGGCCTCTTGGAGCCCATACTGCTCCAGGTTCCTCTGGGTTACCCCAGGTTCATGCCCAGCTTGGCAGTGCCCAGGGACCCTGGGGTGGGCATCAGAGCCAAGCACTGTGCAGGGCAGCTCAGCACACCTTCCTGCCCTCAGTGTCCTGTTTGCATTTAAACTTCATGGGAAAGCTCCCGGCACTGGCAGTATAAAACCACCACGGCTTTTTCCCGACCTAACAACAGACTGCAGGATTCTTGGAGAAAGGGTCATCCTTGGGTGGAGAGGCCTGGACTTCCCCTCATGGCCCGCCCCCAAGCTCTGCTCTCGCCCTCCTTTCCTCAGGACCACCCCAGTGTGCAGCTGCTAGGAGGGGATGCCACCTTCACCACCACAGAAAAGAAACAATAAAAACAATAAAAATGGCTGCTGTCATTGACCAAACCATTCTGGGGGTGAAAGGTAAACAAAGGTCAATCTGCTTATTTTAAAGCATGGCCAGCTGCATGTGCAAAAAACACACCAATACCCTTGCATGGCCACTACCCCCAGCAGAAAGGTGGGCTCTGCCACTCAGACTGTAGCCTCTGCCTCTGCTGAGAAAGTGAGGAGGGGACGCACCCACACAGCTGCAGGCACACCAGGCTGGAGGCAGAGACAGGCTGTTTTCTCAAGTTGCTTTGTGACTGACTTCCAACGAATAGATAAAGAATCAGAACAAGTGTTTGCACAACAAAACAATTTTTGTTTTCAAATTATGACTGTACAATGCAGACGGGAAATGTTATTTTTTATTGAAAACAAGAAAAATCATTAAAAAGAACTCAAAGAGATTCAACAGTAAATATATGAGTATCAATGAAAAATGCACCAAGACCTAGTGAGTCGTTTATACACGACAAGGGTTAAAAGCTTTTCCCTCCGTGGCCTGTGTGTGGTTTCCCTAGGGTTAGCCCTGCTCAGGGCCCTCGGGGACCCTTCCCATCCCTGCCTCCTCCCAGCACCAGCCCTGGAGGCCCTGCCTGGGGTCCTTGGGGACACGATGCCCCTCCTGCTCCTGCCTCCCTCAGGGCCTCTCCTCCCCATGAAGGAGAGGAACATCCCAAACACACAATCTGACCTCCTGCCCTGCTTAGAGCCCCACCATCCTCCCCCAGCCCGGTCCTCCTCCTCCGTCAGCCTGTCCCCATCTCTTACGTCTCCCAGGGGCTCCTGTCCCTTCTCCAGCATGGCTCACTTTTGCTCTCAGAGCCGTCTCTGCAGAGCCCTCTGGGCCACGTGCCCTGACACTCACACCACCTTGGGCAGCCCGGGCACAGGACAACGTAGGCACTCAGTAAGTACAATTGTTTTTAATGAACAAGCTAAGAAGAGGCGAGTGAAGGGAGGTGATGCCATCAGGGCTGTCTTGAAAGAGCATCCTGACCATGGAAGACAGGACGCTTCAGGAACACAGCAAGGGGTGGTGCTGACGCAGGGGCCGGACAGCTAGCTCACCCCCAGCCCCAGCACCCAGCTGTGAGCCTCTGCACCCAGCCCACTTGCATGACAGGGCAGAAACAGCGCCCAGCTGCAGAGCCGCTACCAGGAGAATGTGGGCAGAAAGAGCTTGCACTGGGCCAAGGCCTCTGCCCAGGATGGCATCCAAGGGGTCTGAGGGTAAAGGAGGGAGCCCCGCTAACCACCCAGCCCAGAAGTCACTGCTGAATCATGACGATGCCCTCAAGGAAGAGGAGGGGAGACCCCGAGAGCCACAGAGGGACAGTCAGTGTCACAGGACAACCGAGCGGCTCCACTGATGACGCTGAGATGTTCGGGAGGGATGTGCACCATGAGATCACAAACATGATTAACCTGCAGAATCTGATTAAACTGAGTAGATCATGGGGAGTAATTATATGGGTTTGGATCTCCACATACTGTTTTTCTATTTCCACACTGGATTATTTAACCTTGTCTTGCATGCACAAGCCAAATACTTGCTAATGCAACAAATTAGCAAATGCAGTGACAGGATCTGAACAGCACATACTGCCCAGAATTCCTTCCAAAGAATACTGCAGCTAAAGGCAGAAAATGAGCAAAAGGCATATAAGCAGAGTGCATCCAGGAGGATCTACTGAATCAAGTATGTCACAACAAGTGCGGCTGTGAAGGCGGGTCAGTGACCAGCACCTGGCCAGATGCTGTGAAGATGGGTCAGTGACCAGCACCTGGCCAGACGCTGTGGGCATGGCATGGTGGCCCCTCTCTGAAACCCATGTCAAGAAGAGCAAATGTACCAAGGCCATGGAACCTGAGTGTGTCTGTGGCCCTGTCCCTGTGGCTGCCTCAGCTGCCGCCATCTGCTCCTCTGCAGCTCCTTGTGCACCCAGGGGCCCTGCAGCCAGCAGGGAGGGGCCAGCCCAGACACTGGCTGTCTTGTAGGAGGTGGGTAGACAAGGGCAGGACTCAGACAGACTGGCCACCGGGGCTGTGAGTGGGGACAGAGGAGCAGCTAAGGCAAGGCTAGCAGCCAGGGTCCCCACAAGGCTGGCCATCAGAACACTCCAGGGTCCTCATGACACCCCCATCCACACAGGGAAGTGGATGTGACCTTCTCCCACAGGACGCAGTGGCAGTGAGAGCCAGGCTGTGGGTGCTGCAGGTGGCACGACAGGACGGGTGAGTGGGGAAGTCACAGGTGATAGAATGATGGCTGGTGCCATTGCCAGAGTTGGAGAGTGGCCATAGCAGAGCACGTTCCAAGGTCAGAGCGAGTGGGCATGCTGGCAAGAACGGGTGGCCACGCAGAACGGGCAACAAGTCCTGGAGGAGGCGGGAACCCCATGCTCAGGCACCCCATCTCCTGGGAGGATGCAGGGCTGGGAGCAGAAGGAAAGTCACTTGGAGGAGGAGGCGGGAACCCCATGCTCAAACACCCCATCTCCCAGGAGGATGCAGGGCTGGGAGCAGAAGGAAAGTCAGTCATTGGGCACCAGGGCCACACAAACGAGGTCAGGGAAAGACATCCTCCCTCCCGGGCTGTGGCCTAGGCATAGTGAGGCACATGGCCCAGGTGGGAGGGCCACCTCACCCAGGCTCAGGAGGGCACAGGTGTGCACCAGGCTGCATGCGGTGCTTGGCCCAAGGGCCCAGCACGAAGGGGTGGCAGGTGACCAGGGCAGGCAGCTGAGAGCAGAGGGCAGGGCAGGAGGCACCAGCAAGGCTGGTGGTGTTGGGTGGGTTAGAGGCATGGCAGGGAGGGGGCCTCAGGGTCAGGTCAGGCACACACCTCAGGACACGCCCACAACACGCCTGTTTGGAGCCAGTTGGGCTCAGAGTTCAGTGCTGGTAAAGAGCCTCTCCATTTACCCTCAGGTTCCAAGGTCTCTTCCTTTGTCTACAAAGGCGACATCATCTGCACTTCACAGAAGGCCTGGCTCAGGGCGCACAGGCTTGCTCCCACATCCTGCTGGGCTGTGCGAGGGGTAGCCCTGACCTGGACCTGCTGTCTCTGTGGGTGGATCTGCCAGGAGCCTCTGGCTTGGCCCGGTGCTCCCAAGAAAAAGCTGCAAGAGAGGAACTGCTGCCTGGCCCCTCAGCCTGTGCCTCTGGAAGGCCCCACCTGCAGCCATTACTCTGTGCTCCTGCAGCCTCCTCCAAAAAGGCAGCTGCACGGAAGCCAGGCCATGATTCATGAAGAGAGAACAGCACAAGAACCATCACTGGGTGGTTCTCACAGTGAGAGAACAAGCTGTGGGCAGAGGGCGCGGGAGCTGAGAGGACCCTCCCCGACAGCTGTCCAAGCCACCAGCAACCAGGCATTGGAGAGCCCGGTGCCAACCTGGTGAAGCTAGCACAGCCTCTGCCCGCATCAAGGCCTCCTGGGCTCAGCCACAGGGACATCACCTCAAGAGGCTGCTTGTTCTCAGCTCATTATTTTTTAATCATATTCTGCGGCATTAATTTTGTTGTAATTAAAATTCCAGTTTGAGAAAAGCATTTGAGAAACTAAAACAAAGCCCAGTTCCCAGCACCCCAGGCTCTGGGTGGCCCTGCCGTGGACGCGTGCCTGGCCCCTCAGGACCAGGCACGGATACCTTGGCCTGGCCGTCCACCTGGCCTGTGACACCGGGGTCACAGCATCATCTGCCAAAGTCTTGCAGAAGATCTGTTCTGAGGAGAAGGCTGAAGAATTCATTCTGCAGCCCTCCCCCCTTATCCAAGAGGGGTACGTTCCAAGACTCTCAGTGGCTACCTGGAACCATGGACTATACCAAACCCTGTTATAAACTGTCCTATGATAAATTTTAATGTATAAATTAGGTACAGAGGAAGATTAACAATAATAAAACAGAACAATTTTATCAATATGCCATAATAAAAGTTATGTAAATATGGTCTCTCTCTCTCAAGATATCTCACTATACTGTACCATGGGTGACTGAAATCACAGAAAGTGAAACTGTGGACAAAGGGGGACTACTGTACTCATCGGACAACTTGTTATTGTGATATAATTTCAAACCTTGAAAAAAGTGTACAAGCATTAAAAAGAACATCTACATATCCTTTACCTCATTTATCCAATTACTTATATTCCGGCCCATCTGTGTGTCATGAATTCGTCCATGCACACTTTCACTCTCTCTACAGATCCACGCATTCAACCATGTACACATCCATTCACTCTCTCTATGGATCCATGCATTCATCCATGTACGCATTCACCCTCTCTACAGATCCATGCATTCATCCATGTACACATCCATTCACTCTCTCTATGGATCCATGCATTCATCCATGTACGCATTCACTCTCTCTACAGATCCATGCATTCATCCATGTACACATCCATTCACTCTCTCTATGGATCCATGCATTCATCCATGTACGCATTCACTCTCTCTACAGATCCATGCATTCATCCATGTACACATCCATTCACTCTCTCTACGGATCCATGTATTCATCCATGTACGCATTCACTCTCTCTACAGATCCATGCATTCATCCATGTACACATCCATTCACTCTCTCTATGGATCCATGCATTCATCCATGTACACATCCATTCACTCTCTCTACAGATCCATGCATTCATCCATGTACACATCCATTCACTCTCTCTATGGATCCATGCATTCATCCATGTACACATCCATTCGCTCTCTCTATGGATCCATGCATTCATCCATGTACACATCCATTCACTCTCTCTATGGATCCATGCATTCATCCATGTACGCATCCATTCACTCTCTCTATGGATCCATGCATTCATCCATCCATGCATTCACTCTCTCTACAGATCCATGCATTCATCCATGTATGCATCCATTCACTCTCTCTATGGATCCATGCATTCATCCATGTACCCATCCATTCACTCTCTCTACGGATCCATGCATTCATCCATGTACACATCCATTCACTCTCTCTATGGATCCATGCATTCATCCATGTACGCATACATTCACTCTATGGATCCATGCATTCATCCATGTACGCATCCATTCACTCTCTCTATGGATCCATGCATTCATCCATGTACACATCCATTCACTCTCTCTATGGATCCATGCATTCATCCATCCATGCATTCACTCTCTCTATGGATCCATGCATTCGTCCATCCATGCATTCACTCTCTATGGATACATGCATCTGTCCATCCACGTATTCACTCTCTCTAAGGATCCATGCATTCATCCACATGCACATCCATTCACTCTCTCTACGGATCCATGCATTCATCCATGTACGCATCCATTCACTCTCTCTACAGATCCATGCGTTCATCCATGTACACATCCATTCACTCTCTCTATGGATCCATGCATTCATCCATGTAGGCATCCATTCACTCTCTCTATGGATCCATGCACTCATCCATCCATGCATTCACTCTCTCTATGGATCCATGCATTCGTCCATCCATGCATTCACTCTCTATGGATACATGCATCTGTCCATCCACGTATTCACTCTCTCTAAGGATCCATGCATTCATCCACATGCACATCCATTCACTCTCTCTATGGATCCACGCACTCGTCCATCCATGCATTCACTCTCTGTGGATCCATGCACTCGTCCATCTATGCATTCACTCTCCCTATGGATCCATGCACTTATCCATCCATGCATTCACTCTCTGTGGATTCATGCATTCATCCATCCATGCATTCATCCATCCATGCACACAATCACTCTCTCTATGGATCCATGCATCTGTCCATCCATGCATTCAGTCTCTACGGATCCATGTACTCATCTATCCATGCATTACACTCTCTCTATGGATCCATGCACTCGTCTATCCATGCATTCACTCTCTGTGGATCCATGCACTCGTCCATCCACGCATTCACTCTCTCTACAGATCCACGCACTCAACTATCCATGCATTCACTCTCTGTGGATCCATGCACTTGTCCATCCATGCATTCACTCTCTCTATGGACCTATGCACTCGTCCATCCACGCATTCACTCTCTGTGGATCCATGCATTCGTCCATCCATGCATTCATCCATCCATGCACACATTCACTTTCTTTATGGATTCATGCATCCATCCATCTAGCATTCACATTCACTTTCTCTACGGATCCATACATCTGTCCATCCACATATTTACTATCTCTGTAGGCCCATACACCACGCTCTTTCACCCCAAATACTGTACCATGTGTTTCCCCAAAACAACATCCAGATAACCACAGTGCAATGATCAAAATCAGAACATGAGCACTGAGCCAGTATTACCACCTAATTCTCGGCTGATTCTCCATGGCCTGTCCCCAGACACATTACAAATTCATTGATTAAGCCCTCGTATTTAAACTTTATATAAAAATAACACAAGAGGGCCTTCAAGAGCTATGTAATTAGAAATGCTATTATAAATCATGCTTCCATTCTAAGAGGTTTGGGAAACAAATTTCACACAATTCAAACCCCATACAAAGTTTTTTAAAAGACAAAAGAAAATAAGAAACTAAATAACATCTTTACTGACAATAAACACACCATAAAAACATGCTAACAAAAAAGACAAAAACCATAATCAAGTATTTGTTAATTGCCTAAAAGGCATTAATGGTGCAAAAGGTGAAAAAATACAAATCAGAATTAGAAAAACTAAACAACTGAGGTCACAGAACTAGAAAATATGTGGGAATAGAAAGAAAAATATTTCAAAAATAAAGATGAAATTAGAAGACACAAAAAGACCAAATAAACACAACAGACAAAAAATGGAAACTTTAAAAAATTTTTAAAAAAGCAATGAAAAGAATTCAAGAGAAGTGATACATACAGAAGACAGACAAGGAAGTGCAAACACATGTGAACAGCATCCCAAAGAGGAAACTGAGGCAGGAGACACAGCAAAACCTCCAAACCAAATTGTAAAAAGCTCTTCCTAAATGAAAATAAAAACAGTTAAAACTAAGTGCAGGTTGGATTTAATTTTCTAACACTTTACTTATGATTGCACATCTGTTTTCTGAGGGTACAGTTACCTATAGATTTTTTTTTAACAATTCTTGCACAATTTCTACATGACAATATTGCTGAGCTCATCAGATGACTTGGAGAAGTTTTGTTGTTTCTGTACACCAGCATGGTTTATAGACCTCACACATGACCCTCCCTTTGGGACATGCTGAAACCCACCTGCAGAGGGGATCGTCAGGTGGTGTGAGAGTGCAGCCCTCTGACTGGCGTTTTCAATCACTCTCACAATTACGGGTCTTTTCAGACTCATTACATACATTGAGGCAGTTTCGTTGATTTACATCTTTGTAGAAAACTGTTCACTTAGATTTCCAAATTTCTTTGCACAGAGGCTGTAAACAGCAGTCTCTTAGAGTGTTAACAGCTTCCTACCTGCAGTGGTATCTATTTTCCTGTTTCCCAAGTTTTAAGGTTTCACACCTTCTCTTTCTTGATCGAAGTGGCTAACAGTTTAAGTATTTTATTGATTCTTTTTCAGAATTTATTGCACCAAGCAATAAGTTTCCATGCTCTACTGTATTAACCTCTATTTTATCTTCATTCATTTTTCCTACTTTATCTTGAATTGGTTTTAAGTCTTTCTCTAACCTTTAGAGTCATATGGCCAGTTCATTCATTGTAAATGTTTCTGGTTTTCTGACATTTTCTTCTGAGAATTGCTTTTGTGGCATCCCTCATGTTTGACGTGCAACATTCTCTCACTTTCATTACTTTTTAATCAGTATGCTTTATTTAAAGGCATTCCAAAATTCCCAAGTATATAATGACGCCTGGGTTACTTTTGGCTATCATTTTGTGTTTTTTTCCACTTTTACTGCACTTTATGATTTCTGCTTTTGAAAATTAAGATTTTCTATAAAATCAAATACATGGCAGAGATATTTGTGAATGGTCCTGGAGAGAGAGAGAGAAGGTAAAGAAAAGAAAGGAAAGGGGAAAAAAAAAAAAAGAAAAAGAAGAAGACAAGTGTCCTCTGTGTCCCCTTCCAAAAAGAGAGTGGGTTATGAATGCTATTCAAATTCCTCGTAAACATACGGACATTCTGGTCCCTTTGATTTGTCAATTGAAATTTCCCATTATGGTACTGAATTAATCCATCTCTTATTCTTAGAATTTCTTTCTACATAAATTTCACAGCTATGTAATTATGTACATAAAAGTTCACAATGATCGTATCTTCTTAGAGGATTATAAACGTGAAGTATCTTTGTCCCATTTAATGCCTTTCATCTTTTTCACGAAAATGTCGTTGCTGGTCTGCTTTCTAGTGGCTGGCATTGCTCAGTGCCCTTCCCATTAACAAATTCTCTGTTTCTAGGTCCTTTTTTTTTTTTTTGAGACAGAGTCTGGCTCTGTCGCCCGGGCTGGAGTGCAGTGGCGCAATCTCGGCTCACTGCAAGCTCCGCCTCCCGGGTTCACGCCATTCTCCTGCCTCAGCCTCCCAAGTAGCTGGGACTACAGGCACCTGCCACCACGCCCGGCTCATTCTGTGTATTTTTAGTAGAGATGGGGTTTCACTGTGTTAGCCAGGCTGGTCTCGAACTCCTAACCTTGTGATCCGCCCACCTCGGCCTCCCAAAGTGCTGGGATTACAGGCGTGAGCCATTGCACCCGGCCTCTGGGTCATTTTTAAGACAATCTGAGGTCTGCCTTTTAATAGAGAAATCTAACCTCATATTTGAATTAATGTCTTGCCTTATATATTTTCTATGATTTCAAATGTTTTCCATTCTACTCCACCTTTTGGTGAATTGATGAGGTTTTCTTCGTTCTGAAAATTTTCCTGTTCAAGATGTGAAGTCATGCATCTGTCCCTATTCCTCAGGGAGCTCCTATTTACTTAATTTTAGAGGTGGGGTCTCATTCTGTCACCTGGGCTGGAGTGCAGAGGCACGGTCTTGGCTTGCTATAGCCCCAAACTCCTCGGCTCAAGCGATAATCCCACCTCAGCCTCTGGAGTAGCTGGGACTACATGCACGCACCACTACATCCAGCTAATTTGTAAATTTTCTGTAGAGCCAGGGTTCCTTGTAAATCATTTACAATGGTTCCTTGTAAATCATTAATCCATTTAAGCCTTCATTTCTATACTACGGGCGTGAGTAGCATCTATAAATTTCCCCTGAAAAAAACCCTGAAGTTTAGTAAGCTTTCATTTTTCTCCTTCTCATCATTATACAGATACATATGCTTGAGATTTTTATTTCAAATAGTATTTTAATTTGCATACCAATATACACCAACAGTGATTTAGACTAGTACATGTTACACTGGATGCTTTCCTCTCCATTATTTGTGGAATCAAAACTTGTTTTCTTTCATAGATAGTTGTCTTTTTTTTAGTTTTGTCAGGGTATTAGGGATGAGGCTGGTAACCTCTGAGTCCTTCACTATCTGAAGACACTTTTCCTTTGCCCTTCAATTTGAATTCTAGTCTGTCTGTGTCTACAATTCCAGGTTTGAAATCATTTTTCCCGAGTATTTTGAAGATACTGTTCTAATTAAATCTAGAGTACAGTTTCTCATTGAGAAGTCTGATGCCAATCACCAGCCAGAGCTTTGCAGGGGCTATCGCCTCCCGTCTCCTCCTGCAGAGCCCCTGTGGAGTCTCCGCTGTCCACAGTATCTGAAACTCGGTCCTCACAGGTCCTGGCAGCCATGTTTTCCCCGCGCCCACTCAATACTGGTCAGTCCTGTGATGCGCTCTGTGCTCGGGGAGACGATCTTCTAGGATGTCTCCATTATCTTCCCCTCAATATTCTCTCTTTCCTGGTCCTCAGACTCCTGTTAAACAGAATATGGAGCTTCTCAGCATCGCGCTTGGCCTCAGCTTTTCCTCTCGCTCTCCCCGCCTGTCAGTCCTGGAGCTCTGCATCAGCGAGTCCTGGACTCGCTGGTCCTCGGTCTGTGCTCGGGAATAGCTCTCGGTTTTTGACGTCTGAGTGCGGTAACAGTTCTGGGTCTGCGTTCTCAATAGTCCGTGGCTATGCAACTCTTCATGCTGCCCATTCTGTGAGTCCTGCTTTCCTGGCTGTGCCACTTTGACCGTCTACTCTTCAAGGCCTTTGGCACTCCCTTTGAAGGAGCCGTGTGTCTGACCGAGTCTCCGTCCGGAAGGCGGCCCCACGTCTTCTTTCTGCTGTGCTTGCTGCTGCTTTCTCCTGCTGCTGGTTTCCCTCCAGCGTGCTGTGGTTCCCAGCTTGTTGGCAGTTTTGCTTTAGAGAGGCTTGGTTTGCTCATCCTGGATACTGTTCCTGTCTACTTTGGTCAGCCTCGGGTGTTGCAGCAGGGAGAAGGAGGGGTGTCTTTGGACTGCATGTGACAATGTTTCATCTCCTGGAAGTGGCTCCCTGTCCCTCACTGGAGTTGGTGGCTGGCCCCGACACAACTTCTGACTGCCTGGGCCCAAAGCCGGGGGGTTTGAGGGGGATACCTGGCTCTGCTCCTCTGAGTAAGTGCTGCCAGCCAGCCCTCTCCAACTCCCTGAGTCCATTAATCTGCGCTGAGCGTCCTAACTTCCACTCTTCTCTGCATTAGGCCTGTCTGCATGTCTTCTGTGGTGATGTGATTCCACAAACATCGCCTGTTTCTCTCTCTTAATAATCAATCAAGACATCTGGTCCTCTGACTGCAGTCATCCCTGTCTCCTAGCACATCATGAATTTCTGTTGTTGCTGCTGTTTCAAAATTTCTGTCTTTTCTGGAGATTCTGGTTCAGGGTGTCAGTAGATGACTGTTCTCAGGTGACCATCCTGTTACAATCACCAGAAGACTGACTTGTGCTGTCTTTTTTAAAAAAGAAAACTCTATTTAAGTTTTCTTTCCACAGACAATAGATAAGCTAACCTCTTATCCCAGAGGGGCTTCCTGGGAGGGCCCCCACCTTCTCTGCACCTTCATCACTGCCAGACGCTGGCCTCGGTGGGCCAGCCAGACCCTCCACTGAGCCCGCCCCTCCTGGCATCCCAAGGCTGCCCCAGCGGTTCTCTTGCCCTTGCCGCAGCTCTGCGGGTTGCTGCCACCTGCACAGAGACAAGCTACTGTTTCTCCCACTTTCAAATAAAGGCTGGAAACACAATTTTTAAAGTTCTAGTTGGTAAGATTAATCTCAACACAGTAGCCTGGAGCCCCGGGCCTCGCCTCCAACTGCTTCACAGCCTGGCCCTGCGAAGGGTGGCCCTGCAGTGGCCTGGGCCAGGTGGGCTTGCAGTCGGCTTGCCTTGAGGTCCCAGCACAGAGAAAATGGGAGAAGCAGGACTCACACCCAAGCGACTGGAGCAAGGAAAGGAAAGGCTGTCAGCCTGAGGGCGGGCACTGCCCTAAGGATGGGGACTGGGCATGAGGCCCAGCTCCTGAGTGCAGCTCAGGGCTGGAAATGAACTGCATCCTTGCTTTCAGGAGCAGGACCTAACTACATAGTTGCTTTAGGATTATTTAAGCCTTACCCTGCAATTTCTCTGTTGTCTGTAATTACCCTGTGCCACGACCTAACACTTGCTGTGCAGTCAGTCAAGCGGTTGGCAGTTACCAGGGAAACCAAGTAGTACTATTCTCTAAGCTGAAGAGGTAGTTGTATTTTAAAATTTTTTCTTAGTTGTATTCTACTTCGACAGAAATTAACTTATGACTGCCACCAACTGGAAAAAGAAAGTTGTTGGCGGCCACCTGCCTTCCGGCTGTTGCACACCTCCCTCGCGAGCTTCTCTCCTTCCCTAGCCCAGATCACGCCGCGAGACCATCGTCTCCTCTCTGCCTTTGTGTCTGGCTACCCGCTTGGTTCCTTGTCCTTGCTTGACAAAAGCCACACCCTATTAAAGTCTCACTCTCTGTCAATTCCGTGCCTAGACTCTGGAGCTGCACACAACTGGAGAACACAAACGACTCAGTGTACACCAGACCAGACCACAGGCAGGCCACACACACCAGTGACCACACTCACTCCCTGGGCTGGCCATGCTCCCAGCCTTCCAAATTCTACCGCACAAACCTTACACTGACCCATATGAAACTGCCTTTTATCGTACATCAAAAACATATAAATATGCATATCTCATACCGATTCCTGTCTTCAAAACTCCCCCTTCCCACGCTGGGCTGACGACCAACACAGCCTTGTTGTGAGGGGCTTCCTGGGATGGACCCCACCATCTCTGCACCTTCGCCACTGCAAGATGCTGGCCTCGGTGGGCCAGCCAGCCCCTCTACTGAGCCCACCCCCATCCTGGGCATCCCAAGGCTGCCCCAGTGGTTCTCCTGCCCTTGTGAGAGCTCTGCTGGTTGCTGTGACCTACACAGAAACAACCTACTGTTTCTTCCACTCTCAAAACTGGCTTCCTTCCCCCTACTACTCTCTTTTCCTTTGTAGTAAAACTCTTCAAAACTCCACCTTGCTGCCCCAGCCCCTCTGCTGTCCTTCTCCCTCTCCAGAGCACCCCACTTTTGCTTTTGTTGCCCGCCAAGTCTAAAACTGCTCAAGACCCCCAAGGACCTGTGTGAGCTCTGGTGGCTCATTCCTGGCTCTCCCCTTACCCCACCTGTCCACAGGATTGAGACTATCTCTCCTCTCCTGATGAGGCACTGCCCTCAGCTTTTGCGTCTCCTGGGTCCCTCGCTGGCCACTTAGGCTCAGACTCTGCTTGTTCCTCCACTGCATCCCAGCCTGCCAAGGCAGGGGCGCCCCAGGCCTGGGTCCTTGCTCCTCTTCTCTCCACAGACGCCCCCGGATGACCCATGCCATTTCCGGCATAAAACATCATGGAGGGACCAATCAGGCACAAGTCCACAGGCACAAGTCCACCTCTCCTGGGTCTCTCTATCCAACTGTGTGCTCACTGCTCTGCCTGAATGGCACGGCGTCCCACCTTGGCTGCCCTCGATGCAAGTGCTGGACACAACTTCGTCCTTCCTGCTAATCGGGCCTAGAGCCCCGCAGTCACCTCACCTCCCCTGTCCCACAAGTACTTCCTCCACTCTGTTTGAAGGTCCTACCTTCAAAACGGATCCTGAATCTGACCCTCTCATGACGTCCTCGGGACCACCTCTCACCTGGGTCCAGGTGAAGCCTCCTCACCAGTCTCTGCTTCCCCACTGGATCCCCTGAGAGACTATTCTTTTTCTTTTTTTTTGAGACGGAGTCTCACTCAGTCGCCCAAGCTGGAGTGCAGTGGCGAGATCTCGGCTCACTGCAAGCTCCGCCTCCCGGGTTCACGCCATTCTCCTGCCTCAGCCTCCCGCGTAGCTGGGATTACAGGCGCACGCCACCACACCTGGCTATTTTTTTTGTATTTTTAGTAGAGACGGGGTTTCACCGTGTCAGCCAGGATGGTCTCCATCTCCTGACCTCGTGATCCGCCCGTCTCGGCCTCCCAAAGTGGTGGGATTACAGGCGTGAGCCACTGCGCCCGGCCGAGAGACTATTCTCTACCCAGACACCAGAGCGATTTGGCGAGAACCTAACTCGGCCCAGGTCCCTCCCCTGCTTAAGACAAGAAGCACTGGCATGTCCCACCTCTGCTTAAGACAAGAAGCACTGGCTCCCACTCACAGCAAAAGCTCTTAGGACGCCACAGGACCACAAATGACCTGCTCCTCACCTCCTGGAACTCAGCCCCTGATGCTCTCCCTTGCTCGCTCTGCTCCGGCCACACTGGCCCCGGGTTGTCCTCCACCTTAAAGCCTTCGTGCTGGGGACTCCTCTGCCCGGATTGCTCCTCATCCATGGCTCACACCCTCATCTTTCCTTTAACATCACCTTCTTAATAAGGCCAACCTTGACGGCCCTATTGAACACTGGCAACCCCCAACTGCATGTATGTATGCACACATGTGTACACATACACACATGAAAAGACACGATCACAAACACATGCACACACTCGTGCACTCATAGGCACACAAGCACATGTACACATGCACCCACTCATGCACACATGAACTCACATGCACACACTCACCCTCGCACACATGCGGGTACACTACGTGCACAATCACACACATACATGCAATCACACACACACGTGCACACACTATGTATGCACAAACATGCATGCACATTTGCATGTGCAGACACACACATGCACACGCACGTGTGCACACACATTCACTCCTGACCTCTGCTTCATGCCCCCTTCCTTGATCTGCTGAGCATGCCATCTCATTTTCTCAGGTATGAAGTACACACAGGACGGCCAGCTCTGGGGACACAGCCATTGATGTGCACTCACTGTGTTCTAAGCCCAGGACAGAGCAGGGCACAGAGCATGTATTTGGTTACTGTTGGCTGAATAAGTCTGTTGGATCTGGACAGCAATTCAATTCTTCCAGCCTCATTTAGAATTATTGCTAAAACCATTTCTAATTCTGAAATGTGTCATTAGCTCCACTGTGTTTCTAACCTGAGGAGAACTGCCCTGTGACTGGTGAGTCATTAACATTCTGCATAGATGAAAAGTTGACAGTCACCACATACTCCAGATCATGTTGTTTAAGAAATACAACTTTTTTTTCTCATTCCACTACAAATTACCCTGTAAAAGGAAATAGACATGAAGCAGGTCAGCATCTGAGAGGCCGTTAGCATCGTCTCTGAGGGGCCCTCGTGGCGGCCCACAGTGAGTGAGGTCAATGGGAGTCGGGTGCAGTTCAGGGTTAAGAACCTCAAGAGAACGGTCAAGCAAAGGGAGCAACCAGAAGTCAGGATCGGCCCCGTGGGGTGGGAAAAAAGAGGGCAGGGCGTGGGCTGAGGTAGGTCAGCCGACAGCACTGAGGTTGGGGACAGGCAGACATGGGGGCGAAGCTGGGCAGGGCAGGCAGGGTCACAGGTGAGCCATCATCTGGAACAGAACGGGGCCGGGCAGGCAGGTCACCAGCAGGGGTAGACGAGAGTACCTGGGAGTGTCTCCTTCTCCCGGCCTGGGGCCGCCTGTCCTGCCAGCCCACCTGCTCCCCGAGGGTGACACACTGTCCATCTACCAAAAAGCAAGGGAGAAGTATCACGTTACCTGACGAACTTGGCAGGACCCATGCCAGGCACGCCGCCCACACCCTGCGTGACCCTCCCCATCCCTCACCCATCTGACTGTGGGGGGTTCACAGGACACCTTGTTACTTGAATTCAGTACTGCATCCTCCAGAAATGGTCAGACACGATTCTACAGGTCACAGCATGTCCCAGTAAGGAGACACCAGCTGTTCCTGGCTATGCCCTCCTGTCAACTCCTGACAACTGGTGCCCACCTTGCAACTGTAGGTGCCCCCATCTTCCCCCGTAGGTCTCCCCAGTCTCTCCCCGCCTTTGCTATAGTCTGCTAAAAAGTTACCCTTTACTTGCAGGTAGCATTACCTGAGCTATACCTCAAAGCCTGATCTCTTTAGTAAGGCTTTCAACTTTTCCTGTTGCAACAGTCCACATCCTCAGTTATAGCAGAAATACCTTTTTAAAAATCTGGTAACACATTTGTGAAGCGTCAAAGGTGCCTGGCATGCTACAGACCCCAACCAAACTCTACTGTCTAGTGGAGCAAAGTGACGGAGAAGCAAGGCCCTACCCTGTGGACAGCCATTAGCCCTAGCCTGGGATGTCCCCCACTGCTGTGTGGGCAGGAATGCCAGTGACCACCAGGGCCCAAGCAGGGGGACTCGCTTTGTTCCCTGGAGGCCCCACCATATAATTTAGGCAGCAAGGAAACACTTCCAAAAAACTCGGATGAGGCCAGGCACAGCGGCTTACACCTGTAATCCCAGCACTGTGGGGGGCCAGGGCGGAAGGATCACTTGAGCTACGGCTGGTCTGGAGTTTGAGACCAGCATGGGCAACACAGGGAGACCTAGTCTCTATTTAAAAAAAAAAAAAAATTAGCCAGGTGTGGTGACACGCGCCTGTAGTCCCAGCTACTCAGGAGGCTGGGGTGGAAGGATCACTTGGGCCCAGGAAGTTGAGGATGCAGTGAGCTATGATCACGCCATTGCACTCCAGCCTGGGCAACAGAGCAAGACCCTGTCTCAAACAAAACGAAACTCAGATGAAACGTCAAGATCCAGCTGTTATCCTAATGAATTACGTTCCAGAAACAGGCACTGATTATGAACACATGCAAAATCTTAAAAAGGAGGCGAAACTATTTTCAAGCATTTTATGATTTCCAAGAACGTTCAGGCTTATTACAATATACCTAGTATTTACCAGATTAAAAAGCAGGCACTATTATGATTTTTATAGATGAGGATCAGGCTCAGAGAGGGAAGCAGTTGGGAAGGGTCAACAGCTGGAAATTCTTTATGCAGAGTTGCAGCACGGGCCCTTTCCATCCCAGCAGGCTGCACGCCGCTAGGGGACCCACGGACTCTCATGGAAGGAGGCAGGAGACAGGTTCTAATAATTTCTTCAGAGGGTGTGGGTGAATTCAGGACACACTGCTATTTACAGCATTTTAATGACTATTATTCTGTGTTCCTAGGAGCAGTCATGGTGCCAGAACATTCCTGCTGTGCAGGCACCCCCAAATTGCAGGTGAATTACTTCACATCATGTCTCAGGTTTCCCAATTACTAAACAACAGGAACATACCATGAGTTGGAACGAACGTAGCAATATATGTAATTCTCTTACTAACAATAATGACTTAAAATTATTTGTGGCTTAGGTGGTTTTCATAACTCTTCAAAATGATACTTAAGACCAGGCGCGGTGCCTCACACCTATAATCCCAGCACTTTGGGAGGCCAAAGCAGGCAGATTACCCGAGATCAGGAGTTCGAGACCAGCCTGGGAAACGTGGTGAAACCCCATCTCTACTAAAAATACAAAAATTAGCCAGGCACATTGGTGGGCGCCTATAATCCCAGCTACTCGGGAGGCTGAGGGAGGAGAATCGCTTGAACCCAGGAGGTAGAGGCTGCAATGAGCTGAGATTGTGCCATTGCACTCCAGCCTGGGCAACAAGAGCAAAACTCCATCTCAAAAAGAAAAAAAAAAAAGATACTTAAATATAAAGAGTAAAAATGTCAACAATGGAAAACAAGACTCTCTCCTGTTATGCAGAGCTCACTGGCACTATTTTTTTTTTTTGAAACTTTTTATTTTTTTTGGAAACTTTTTACTTTGATATGATTTATTTATTTATTTATTTATTTTTTTATTGATCATTCTTGGGTGTTTCTCGCAGAGGGGGATTTGGCAGGGTCACAGGACAATAGTGGAGGGAAGGTCAGCAGATAAACAAGTGAACAAAGGTCTCTGGTTTTCCTAGGCAGAGGACCCTGCGGCCTTCCGCAGTGTTTGTGTCCCTGGGTACTTGAGATTAGGGAGTGGTGATGACTCTTAACGAGCATGCTGCCTTCAAGCGTCTGTTTAACAAAGCACATCTTGCACCGCCCTTAATCCATTTAACCCTGAGTGGACACAGCACATGTTTCAGAGAGCACAGGGTTGGGGGTAAGGTCACAGATCAACAGGATCCCAAGGCAGAAGAATTTTTCTAGTACAGAACAAAATGAAAAGTCTCCCATGTCTACCTCTTTCTACACAGACACGGCAACCATCCGATTTCTCAATCTTTTCCCCACCTTTCCCCCTTTTCTATTCCACAAAACCACCACTGTCATCATGGCCCATTCTCAATGAGCTGTTGGGTACACCTCCCAGACGGGGTGGTGGCCGGGCAGAGGGGCTCCTCACTTCCCAGTAGGGGCGGCCGGGCAGAGGCGCCCCTCACCTCCCGGATGGGGCGGCTGGCCGGGCGGGGGGCTGACCCCCCCCCCTCCCGGACGGGGCGGCTGGCCAGGCGGGGGGCTGACCCCCCCACCTCCTCCCAGACGGGGCGGCTGGCCAGGCAGAGGGGCTCCTCACTTCCCAGTAGGGGTGGCCGGGCAGAGGCGCCCCTCACCTCCCGGATGGGGCGGCTGGCCGGGCGGGGGGCTGACCCCCCCACCTCCCTCCCGGACGGGGCGGCTGGCCGGGCGGGGGGCTGACCCCCACATCTCCCTCCTGGACGGGGTGGCTGCCGGGCGGAGATGCTCCTCACTTCCCAGACGGGGTGGCTGCCGGGCGGAGGGGCTCCTCACTTCTCAGACGGGGCGGCTGCTGGGCGGAGGGGATCCTCACTTCTCAGACAGGGCGGTTGCCAGGCAGAGGGTCTCCTCACTTTTCAGACGGGGCGGCCGGGCAGAGATGCTCCTCACATCCCGGACGGGGCGACAGGGCAGAGGCGCTCCCCACATCTCAGATGATGGGCGGCCGGGCAGAGACGCTCCTCACTTCCTAGATGGGATGGCGGCCGGGCAGAGACGCTCCTCACTTTCCAGACTGGGCAGCCAGGCAGAGGGGCTCCTCACATCCCAGACGATGGGCGGCCAGGCAGAGACACTCATCACTTCCCAGACGGGGTGGCGGCCGGGCAGAGGCTGCAATCTCGGCACTTTGGGAGGCCAAGGCAGGCTGCTGGGAGGTGGATGTTGTAGCGAGCCGAGATCACGCCACTGCACTCCAGCCCGGGCACCATTGAGCACTGAGTGAAGGAGACTCCGTCTGCAATCCCGGCACCTCGGGAGGCCGAGGCTGGCGGATCACTCGCGGTCAGGAGCTGGAGACCAGCCTGGCCAACACAGCGAAACCCCGTCTCCACCCAAAAAATACGAAAACCAGTCAGGCGTGGCGGCGCGCGCCTGCAATTGCAGGCACTCGGCAGGCTGAGGCAGGAGAATCAGGCAGGGAGGTTGCAGTGAGCCGAGATGGCAGCAGTACAGTCCAGCTTCGGCTCGGCATCAGAGGGAGACAGTGGAAAGAGGGTAGAGGTAGGAGGTAGGAGGTAGGAGGTAGGAGGTAGGAGGTAGGAGGTAGGAGGTAGGGGTAGCGGTAGCGGTAGAGGTAGCGGTAGAGGTAGAGGTAGAGGTAGAGGTAGAGGTAGAGGTAGAGGTAGAGGTAGAGGTAGAGCTGTCACTATTAACATTCCCTGGTGGTCCATCCAGGAATTTTCTACACAGGTAGGAGTGAAATGTTCATGCCTTTTCTATACCTGCCATGTTATTCTTTACAATCAAAACACCTTAAATTTTTTTTGAATCAGCACATTCAGAGCTACCTTGGCACAAAAAGTGAAATATTGTACATTTTTTATTTCAGAGGTGTTAGCCAGAATCTTCTCCACACTGGACTCTGCAAATTACATCCCTGTCAAGGTAGACAAGGGGCTCTTTCACACCACTGCTTACACTATTCACTCTCCAATGTTTTAACCTTTGACAAACTGAAAAGCACAAAAATGTTACCTCATCATTTTACTGTTTTAAAACTATAAAACTGCAACCATTTTCAGTGAGTCTGAGTTCTTTTCTATGCTCACTGAATTCCGTGCTTTGTGTGTGTGAAAGTCCTGCTCACGGCCTGGTCCAGGAAGGAGAATAACTGATGGCTCCCCAAGGGTGAGGAGGAAACTGCCATCTTCACACCCTCACCACTGCTGGCGTGAGTAGGTTATCCAGCTGGTTTTGGTTCTTTTACTGGTAATCACTGAACTATGTTCTTAAATCCCTACTAGCTCATCAGTTGGCCCCAAGAGCACAGGGCCATCTTTCCAGCCCTGGCCTCTGCAGCTCAGGCCGTGCACTGACCTCCTCCATCACCATGGCTACCTTGTGAAGCTTGCAACGTTAAAATCCCGTCCTCACCCTAACTTCTCACTCCGCTGTGCGCTGTGCCTCTGGGAGGCCACCGCCACTCTCTGTGACCTTCCCCCCTTCTCCATTCCTCTTTTGGCCTCTGGTTCTATCTCCAGGAGCTCTTTCAACAATGCTTGTGAGAATCACTTTTCCCAAGTTCTTACAGGTTGCAAATGTACTGTTGAGAATATCATTTCTTTCTCTAAAGATTTTTGTATACTTTGCTACACTTTTTTCTACCATGAAAATTGTGGTGAAAACAACTCGGACCAGCCTGATCATCCCTGATACATAACACAGACATCAATAGAAAAATGGCTGAAAACCAAGAAAAGCACTTCATGAAAGAGGAGCTCCAAATGGCCAATCGCACATGGAAAGATGCTCAGCCTCATTAGTGACGGATTGTAAATTAAGATTTACAAATTAAAACCAAAACCATATTTCTGCAATATTACTCCATATAGTTTATTTAGCATATTTTTGGGCAAAAATGTCATTATCTGGGCGAGAAAGGGGGAAGATGTTGCTTTCCAAAACTTGGTATAGCTTTTGAAGAGCAATTATGGAGGAAAGTGGTTGCCTGAATGGTCATTATATGAGATCAGTCTGTATTCTGCTAGTGGGAGTACAAACTACATGAGAAAGCCAGAATGGCATCAGTCAGCAAAGCTGAAGCTCCGTGTAACCTGCGACACAGCAGTTCCACTCAGCGACATGCCTCACAGAGAAGTGTATGCTGTGCCCACCACGAGATTGTGCCGTATGCCGGCTGGGCTCCTTGGAGAGCAATGGACCATTTTAAAATCTGGTTGCTTTTAAGATTTTTTTTGTCTTTGGTTTGCAACAAATAATGATATGCCCAGATGTGAAAAGTTTGCTTGCTTGTTTGCTTGCTTTTTTAATTTGTTCATTTCAGGGTAGGCTGTTTCATGAATTTGAATATAAATGTCTTTTGATGCTTTAGAAAAATCTCTGATCTTTATGTCTTCAAATATTTTTCTGATCCCCTACTTCCTGGGATGCTCATTACATGACATTTGACCATTGACTCCATCCTGCAGGCCTCTTGCATTCTACCTTGAATGACTCCATCCTTTTTTCTGTTGTGCTTCAACACAGACTGACTGCACTGAACTGCCTCCCAATGCACTGTGCCTGTTTTCTACTGTGTTCAGTCTTCTGTTAGGCATGTCTAGTAAATTATTAATTTCAGATCCTATATGTTTCAATTCTAAAATGTCCATTTGATTCTTATTATAGATGATTCCACTTGAAATTCTCCATCTTTTCATATATTTTTCTGTCTGTTTCTCTTTTTTAAAAAACATACTAATCTTAGATATTTCAAAGTTCTTATCTGGTAATGCAATTATACAAATCATCTCTGGGTCTATTTCTCACGTTTTTATCTCGTCTTTCACTTACTGTTCTTGTTTTAGCATGCTTTAAAATTTTTTACTGAGTACTGAACATCATGGTTAAAAAATAATTGAGACTATGGACAATGTTATCTTGCTCCAAAAAGGAATGCTGCTTTCTTTGGGGGAAAAAAAAAATCAGCTTTGAGATATATAATGGAATACTGAATGAACTACTGATACACATAACGGCACTGACGAATCTTGAGAGTTATGATGAGTAAGAATAGCCAGACCAAAAATCGTAAGTATATATATTGTGCATTTCCATTTATATAAACTTTCAGTGAAAGTAAATTCTGTAGCGTCAGAAGGCAAGTGAGTGGTTGCCAGGTAACTGACATATAATAAAATGTACATATTGTAAATATGCAAATTGAAATGTTTTAACATATGTACACACCTATATGGATACACTTCACTCAGTATTCCATTATATAGATGTACAACAATTTGTATAGCCATTCAAGTATGGATAGACATTTGCAATATGAACAAATTGCTACAGATGTTCCTGTTCAAAGGTGTATGGAAATATGCTTTCACTACTCTTGGGGAAATACCTTCTAGTGGGATGTTGGTAGGTACGTATTTAATAAGCTCTTGGTTTGATTGCCAAAATGTTTCCAAAGTAACTGTACCATTTCCCATTCCCACCAACAGTATATGAAAGATGCTTCCCATCCTTGCCCATACTTAGTATGGTCAGTTACACCGAGTGGTTTCTCATCGTGGTTCTCATTCACATTTCCTTGATGACAATGACGCTGAGCATCTATTTATGTACTTATATGCCAGTCACATGTCTTCGTTTGTGAAATGGATGTTCAAATCTTGCAGCCATTTTTGTTTGTTCTTTATTTCCTTAGTACTGCATTTTAAGAGTTCTTTACACATGTTAGATACATTAGATATGTGATTTGCAAATGTTTTTCCCAGTCTGTGGCTTGTTTTTCCATTCTCTTACCCATGTAAGAGAATGTAGTGAATTTTTATAATATTATGTTGCCTCAGAATCCATTCTGAATATAGGTTGGACTTTCTTATACCAGGAGCAGGGCTTGGTCATCCTTGACAAACTTTCCAGTTCTCTACCTCCTCCCGGGTCCTCAAGGTGGTTGATCAGATATCTGCCTTACACCACAGCCTCCTGGTGATCACCTTCCTGTGGGACAGCTAGACACAACCTACTTGATTCCCCCACTTACCCCCACAGCCCAAATGACTGCCCAGATGTACCCCACTGACACCTTCTCAGTCAGTGTGATCCCACGGAGCTTGTGGCTGCTTGATCTAAACCCACAAACTAAAATTCCCTGCAGGAAACCAGCTTGAGTAATGCCCTAGACTCCAATAAAAGTGTTGGCGCATCGGTCCCTGGCTCTCTCTCTCTCTTGCTCCCCACCTGCTGGTTGAGTGCACATGTCCCACATGGCTTTCCACTGCCTACTGGCCCTGCATGGCTGTCCTCTTCTCTCTGAGATCATATTACTTAATACAAATGCTTCCATTGCTTCATGCTCTGCTGTGCTGTCTCCTGTGTGTTTCACCCGAGCCACACACCCAGACCCAACTCTCCTGTCCTGATCAGGCCTCTCTTAGAGAGTGGCCACCCTGGCAAGAATAAACTAGACACAGTCAGACAAGGGCCACAAGGACATCAGCCAGCATAAACAAGTTTCACGTGAAAGGGACACCTCGTCACAGGTTGGACCAGGTGCCTAAGTAGGCATTAGACTGCCTGTCAGGATAAAGAAGAATCCCATTAAAGTATACTGTAAACATCTATGACCTTGGAGCCCCATCAGATCATAACTAGAATTTATAACCTCTTTCCAGAGAGAGACTTCAATATCAAATCAGAGGAAAAAATCACAACAGTGTATCTTGAAGAGCAGAAATTTTTTAATTTTATGAAGCCCAGTGTATAAATGTGTGTATTTTGAGACGAATGCTTTGAAAGTCATAACTAGGAAAACATTGCCTCACGCAAGATCACACGGTCACAAAGAACGCCTCACGTTTTCTCCAAGAAATTATATATTTTTGAGTTTTAGAGATTGAAATTCCTGATCTACTGTAATTTTTATAAATGACAAAAAGTATAGGATTTTTTTTTCACATGGATATACAATTATTCCAGGACCATTTGTTTAAAAAGCTATGCCTTTTCCCACTAATTTGCCTGGGCGCTGTTGTTGAAAATTAATTGGCCACGTTTGTGCAGGCCTATTTCCAGACTTTCTATTCTGATCCACTGATCTACTTGTCTATCTTAACAGCAATACCACACTGCATTGACTATTGCAGCCTATAATAAGTCATAAAACCAAGTACTGTTATAGTCAAATGTCTATGAAAAGCCTTCTGGGACTTTGATTGGGAGTTCATTGATTCTATAGATCAACATGGGGAGAATTAACATCTTAACAATATTGAGTCATCTTAACAACGAACATGGTATATCTCTCAATGTATTTATCTTCAACAATTTCTGTTGGCAATATTTTGTAGTTTTACGTGTTCAAGTGTTGAACATCTCTTGTCCAATTTAGATTTCTAATGTTATTAAAAATAATATTTTTTTCATGGAGAGGAGCTTCAAGATGGATGACGAGATGCAATTTATGCCCACCTCCTCCACTTTGAAGAACCAAAAGAATGTACGGTCACTTTCTGAATACATTACCCAAGAGAGAATGTGAATTCAACAGAGAAGTAACAGGAAATACCAAAAGCGAGTTAAGGAAAAGGAAGAGGGGGAGCCTGCCTGGCTGGGATTGGTCAGGAGCCAAGAGTGACTTCCCAACACAAGGAAAGGCTGAGTGAGAAACTTCCAGTGGCCCACATCCCCACCAAGAAATCATGCAATTCTGGCCATGGGAGACTCCCTCAACCCTCACCAGCCCTGAAAATAACATCAGGAGATGCCAGGAGACTGTGGGACAGAGCTGCTTCAGGGAGGGAGCTCATGCTGGGTCCTACAACTCCCTGAGACCTCAGTGGCTACAGCAAGGCACCATTTTCAAACCTAGCCTTTGGCAGACTGCGTGATGTCCTAGGGCCCAACAGCTACTGAGGCATTATGGAAACTCAGGCTGTCGCTGCTGGGACTGGGGAACAAGCTGGGAGTGCTCCCACAGCTGAGGATAAGAACCAAGTGAGGCACAGCCTACTGCCACCAGGGCTGGGGGGCAAGCCCTGTGGGGACTGGGAGCTGAGAGGGGTGTGCATTCCCTATCCATCAACCCAGGCTTTGGCCACCAAGGATGGACCCACCTGCTCCAGTGGCAGGGATCAGTGCAGCTGCTCCCACTCTTCACCCAGCACTCCACCTGGGGCCTGAGGATCGACCCACCCCTGCCAACCAAAGCTGGTACCTGCCCTCACTACTGGGGGGTCTTGCTTGAACACAAGCCCACCCAGCCCAATTTCACCCTCTTACCCTATTCCAAGACAGAGCATGTAGCCCAGGGTCCCAGGCATTGCCCAACCCAATCCACCATTGTGGGTGCCTTAGCACTCCTTCCAGGGGCTTGAGTTTGGGTCTCATCTCCCAGCTGCTATCACCTCAGCTGGCACCTACCTGCAAGTACCACCTGTGGATCTGACGACTGGCCCTCCCTGCTCATCACAGCCACCACCAACATAAATGTACATTGCCTAGGACCCAGAGTATCATCCCACCACTGCTATTGTCATCGCCCATGCCAGTTTCCCAGGGGCGCAAGAACCCACCCACCAGCTTGGTCCACTGCTGCTATTACCAGTATCCAAGCAAGACACATGGAGGCCCAATAATCGGCCTACTGGTAACCACCAGCATAGGTGCCAGGATATGCCACCCTGGGACATAAAGATGGGCACGCTCAATCCAATGCTGCCTCTAGTGGGGCCTTAAGTCTGGCTCACCTGGCATCCCAGTCCCCAGCACAACTTCAGCACAGCTCCACTACTAACTGCACCCTAACCTACTGAAGAAATCACAGACACCACCAATGCTGTTTACAGACAAAGATATCATACAGAGACTTCACTACTGCATGCACCCAGAATCAAACCCAGAATATCCCAACCAACATGACAGATTCATCTTCAGGAAAAAGTCCTCCCTATGAAGTGAATTCAAAAATAGGAAGAAGCAACTATTATACTAGAAGTGCAGAACAGACATCAAAGTATGAACACAAGAAACATGAGAAACCAAAAAAAAAAAAAAGGCCCTCCCCAAAGGAACACAATAATTCTCCATCAATAATAGATCTTAATCAAAAAGAAATTTTTGAAATCCCAAATAAAGAATTCAAAATATTGATTTTAAGGAAGCTCAGTGAGATACAAGAGAATTCTGAAAAATAATACAAAGAAATCAGAAAAAGAATTCATTATATAAATGGGAAATTTATGAAAGGGACAAATACTTAAAAAAAAAACAAATTCTAGAACTGAAGATTCATTGAAGGAGATACAAAATACATTTGAAAGCTTCAACAATAGGCTAAATCAGGCAGAAGAAAGAATCTCTGTACTTGAAGACAAGTCCTTGGAAATAATCCAGTCAGATAAAAATAAAGATAAAAAAGAATATGGAAATCCTTTATGACATTTGGAACAACATAAAGTGATAGAATATTCTAAATATCAGTATCCCCAAGGGTGAAGAGATAAAGGCAGAACTAGAAAACCTATTTAATGAAATAATAGATGAAAACTTTTCAAGTCTAGCAGAAGATTTAGACATTTAGATAAAGAATGTTCAGTGATTCCCAGGCAGACGCAATGCAAAAAGGTCTTCTCTGTAGCATATTATGTCAAAATCTCTAAAGCCAAAGATAAAGAGCAAATCCTAAAAACATCAAGAGAAAAGCATCTAGTCATCTATAAAGGAAATCCCTTCAGACTGACAGCAAATTTCTGGGCAGAAACCTTACAGGCCAGAAGAGAATGGGATGATATATTCAAAGTAATGGGGGAAAAAAACAAAAAACAAAAAAACCTGCCATCCAAGAAGACTATATCCAGCAAAATTATGCTTTGTAAATAAAGTCCTTTCAAGACAAGCAAATGCTGAGGGAATTTGTTACCACTACATCATCCCTACACGAAATGCTCAAGGGAGTCCTAAACCTGGAAGTACAAAGATGACATTTACCAACATGAAAATACATGAAAACATAACTCAGTGGTAAAGCATCACACAAAGAAGGAACAGAAATGGCTTAAATGGTACCACTAGAAAAATCCACCCAAATTAATAAGAGAAAAAGAAACAAAGAATACATAAAGCAAGAAAACAACCATACGACAGAAACAAACCTGTCATATAATCGCCTCAAATGCAAACAGGTTAAATGCTCCAGAAACAGAACGGCTGAATATATTTTAAAAACATGATCCAACTAAATGCTGCTTACGAGAAACTAGCCTTGTCAGTAAAGACACATATGAACCGAAATTAAAGGGATGGAAAAAAATATTTTGTACAAATTGGAAACCAAAAGTGACCAGAAGCTACAGTTATATCAGATAAAATAGACTTTAAGTCAAGAAAGGTAAAAGACAAAGTCATTAAATAATGATAA